>NC_000012.12:70187400-70338915 GCF_000001405.40 Homo sapiens | reverse complement strand
AGCAGTAGGTGAGATAATTTGATGACATGATATTAAAAACTGGAAGTCTGAAGAGGTATTATATACAGACATGGAAAAACAGAAAAAACTTACTCAGGAGAGTTCAGATTGAGGCCTAATGTTGTTAAGTCACTTCCTAATGCAAGATGTACCATTCCTGGGTCTGTCTCTGCTGCCCTGATAAATGTTAACAGGCCAATCATTCCAAATTGGTCCGTCACCATCCCTTGAGGAATGTTAGTAACCCGACCTGGGTAGGAAAAACACAGTTGCTTTTATTTTCAAGAAAAAGTTAAAAAATAGAAAAAAAAGCATTCTATAATATCTTTGACATAGATTTCTAGAGTCCCACCATCAGGTAACACCTGGATCCCTTTTTTCTGCTGGTTATTATTTTGTGTTGTTGAACTTTTATCTCCAGGGAATTTGGGTCCATCTGTACTTGAAGTTGTCTTGCCAGATGTATTCAAATTCTAGCATGAAAAAAATTAAATGTGACATTAAAATTTGTTAAGTATACAAATTCAAGTTCACATATTAATACCTTGCTATTTATTCTTTATTACATTTAAATTGGTAGTTAAATTATTACCTGTTTTTCAAGTTCTATAGAAAATTGTTTCCATCATTGTTCCATGGTATACAAATAAATCCTATATCATCCACATTTGAGTATTTAAAGAAAAAGAAATCAAGGGAAAATATCTTATTTATCTCAGATCTTCAGTCACAGAAAAAAAAAAATCTATCTCTTTCTCAGGTCTTTATGCTTTGGGATACACTTGAAGTTACACTCCTCAATGCTTTCATGTAAAAGAGAAACTAAATATAGTATATTACCTAAAATCACCAAAGCTACCTTGAAGATAAGTTAGACATACAAGCTTTAAAACTTTGTACTTATTTTAATTCTTACCGATCTTCTTTATCAATTATTTTAATAATATATAAACTCCCATCACACACAGAGAAAAGCTATTTTCAGTGAAATGTGGAAGAAATAAACATATTTGTTAAGTCAGAAAGAAGAAGCTGAGTTGGTTGAATCAACACAGGTATAAAAATGTGTATAAATTCTTCAAGGAGAAAACTTACTCAAGAAAAACACAGCTCCTTAGAAGGCTATATTATCAAACTTCATGGGATCCAGCTGACAGGGACTACAATAAAAGTCTAAATTAACTCTGAGAAGTTCAACAGAAATTTGCAAACCTATATGAAATAGGAAAAAAATAGGCTATCTTCTAAGTTATAAAGCTTTTCCACATTCTTCAGAAGTTAGGTTATTACAGATATCAAGATAAAACAGTTTTGTAATAGTATTTAGTAAGTAATTGTTAATATAAGAGAAATCTGAAGGGAAAAACTACATCACTCACATACACACTTCTCAGTTACTTACAGATTTACTGTCATCATTACTTGATGTTGGATCTTTATAGCTGGAGCCTGGTAATGCTGGAAAATCTTCATTGTGTATTGAGAAGTCCTGGGATTGTTCATTTGCTGGTTTTGTTACCATTCCAACTATGTAATGAAAATAATCCGGAGAATTGCAATTGATATTTATGATATTTTGCTACAGATTATAAAGTTAACTTTCCTCATGATAATACACCAAAAGGTTTCTTTTTTTTAATGCTATGAAAGCGTACTTCAAAAAATTAGTATCCAGGGTAACAATGAAGAACTAAATTTTCATTTACTGATTAATAACTCAACATACAAAATAATACAAGGGAAATCAACAGTAATCCATGTCATGCGTAGGTGCTTAAAAATTTAATTTGATATTGGATTAATTATTAACAATTTTGGTTTAAAAGCTTGTTTTATTTAAATATTTGACTAGATATTATAAATACCAGTTAACTCTCAAATACAAATGAACAAAATAAAATTTAAAAGAATATGTCAGTATTCTACTTGAAAGCGACTTACAGAGTGAGCAAATTGCAATCAATTATAAAACAACTCCATATTATTTCAGATTTTCTTGGACTCCATGTTATAGATGTAAAACATGCAAGAACTGGGAAATAATCCTCCCACTATACTTGGCATTAGTCGGGCCCTTATTGGAGAACAATATCCAGTTTGGGGCTCCACAATTCAAGAACGATATGGAGAAACTAGAGATGGTCCAAGGAGAGCAACGGGAATGATTAAAGGGATGAAAAAATGGACCTATGAGGAAAGGTTAAAAACATTAGAGTCTGAACTGAGAATCAAGTAGCTAGGTACTCAACTTCCAGGGCAGATCATTTTTTTTTTTATTTTGGGGAGACTAATTTGGAAACTTTAGAATATAAACAATAAATGTTTCCCTTCTTCATATACTGTTATTTGTATTCATATCTGAATGGCACAGAAATCCTTCTTGGTTGAAAATGTGATCAAATATTAATTCTATCTTAAAATAATGGATGAACTGATTCTTTTAAATTCACCGTTTTGTTACTGGTCTCTATCAGGTTTTCCCAAAAGAAAAAAACTATGTGATAAAAATAGTATAGCTACATTGCTGTCACAGAATTTTCATATCTACATTGTTATATTGTTATTGCATATGTTTCCCCTCCTTTATTTCCATTTATCCCTGATTAGCCAAATTTCTTATCTATTAGAGACAGTGAAAAAGGGTGATGAAGGATATTAACGGAGACCAAGAGTCTGCATAAGCTATACATGACCCATGAGCAATGGTTTTCAACAGGGGGCAATTTTTTTTCCCCAGGTGACATCTGCCAATGTCTGAAAACATTTGTGTCTGTCACAATAGAGGCTATGGGGGTTAGAAACAGAAAGTGCTACTAGCATCTTGTAGGCCAAGGCCAGGAATATTGCTTAACATTCTGTATAAACACAATAGCCCCCCACATCTCCTCTCTACAAAGAATTACCTGGCCCAAATGTCAACAGTGTGGAGGTTGAGAAAAACCTTGGCTCAGAAAAACATCTTCAATGTATAGTCAGTCATTATTAATCACCAGGAATATATTATTTTGAAAAAATGTGTGATCAATTAAGGAGAGAAAAGGCAGACCACAAAATAAAACACTTAAGGTAAACTAAGGCAGGGATAACAGAAGAAAATAACTTCTGAATACCAATGAGGACTTCCTCTTGGGTTTTTGTACAAAGTTTTCCCATTTAACTTTGCTATCATGGTATTCTGGGAAGAAAAATCACTTCTAATATATCAATTCTGAAAAAATTACACTAACCTGATTAGAAAATGCAAACATACATGTGTACACACACAAGCATATGTATACGTACATGTAAATGTATATGTGTGTGCACATACAATGGAAACTTTCTACTGGCCATCATTAAAAAGCTTAATTACCATAAGGAGCTCTTCCAGCCAAGGGGTTTATTAATGGAGTTGGGTTACCACTTCCTTCCCTCCTGTTTCGGTCTGCTAATGCTGGGAAATCTGAAAGGTCCAATCCTGTCACATTTTCACTTCCGTCTAAATAATAAGAAAGGACACTGGTTATTGATTCTACAAATATTTTTTAAGAGATTATAAAAACCAACCATAATATAATTCGAAATGATTGCGCCTTCTTCCTAAATAATGCACGGCACTGTACTAGGTGTATGTAGGTGCTCAAAAGATACTTGCAGATTGATTTCATGTCAAAGAATTCCATGAACAATTTAGCAAAGGAATACGCAACCAGCATAATAGAAACCCCAAATCCTAGAGATGTAACAAAGAGAATAAAAAGCATATATTTCCCCCATGGAAGATGGTAACCTAAAATTATAGCTTGTGAGCTAACAAGAGGGAGATTGTTACGATATAACTTGTCTTTTCATTATGCTCAGATGGAGGTTATATCTAGAATGCTTGAAGCTTCGGTTACACACAAATGGTGACAATGATAGTGCCTCCTGCAAATGGCCAGAAAGATATAGCTGAGGCACAGGCAGTGAAGCAGAAGCCCTGAGGACTTCCACCTGTAATTGACCGCTTTCATATACAAACGTGTGTGCGTGCGCATGTGCGCATTTTGAGGGTGGGGTACAACAGGGTGGCAGTAGGGTTCCCATATATGGTAAATGGATAGGAAATATAGAAATATGATACAAAGCCCAGAAGTTTATATTACCTATTACACAGTAGGCGCTCAATAAATATATATAGAATAAATTAAATGTATTTTTGTTCATTTTAAGTTAAAACAATCAGCTGGCTTCCTTTAAAAATTAAAATTTAACCCAACTTCTCTACTTTGTCTATTTTAATCATCTCAATTTCTTAACTTTTTAGTATTCTTATAACCTTGGGTTCTTAATTTTTGAAGAAAACTTTCTACCGTCCTTTTAGCCTGCGCTATAGCTTTTAATTTTTGTTTTACCATTTTCAATTTATTTTGCCACTTCCCAATTAATTTTTAGTTTTCTCCAAATTTCACAACTGTAAGAATCTCAAACAGTAACTGTTATCTCAAGATTACTTTGTTGACAGAAAAACAATAGACACCATTAATTTATTAACATTCAAAGACAGGTGACAATTTCAAATTACAAGGGTAAAGGATAAATCATTTATACCTGGCTGTTTACAAAAACTGCAGTTTATAAATTTATTTCTGCAGCTTAAGAACTTTGAATAAAAAATTACCACTGAATAAGACAGTAGAAATTAAAAATTTATATCCTGTTTCAATTTATAATTTCTCAAATTCTTTGATTATAAATGAGTCATACATTTTGAATATATATTAACTTTTAATACATATCTTTAGGTCCTCCAAGATGGAATTTAAATTTGCCATTTATTATTTGAGACTATGTTTCAACCTAATAAAGTTAATAAACCCCCAATCTATATTTTTATGAAAGAATTGGGAATTTTCCTAGCATAAAATATGCTTAGTTAAAACAGAATTTAAAAAATAATTCTCAAGTTTTATAGCACTGTATAAAACCATAATGCAGAATCTAAGATGGCACTGTCAGACATCTTTACTGTTAATTTACATCACATTTAGAAAAAAACTACAATTAAACTATGATATGCAGATGTAGCCTGATTTCAAAGACATTAAATTATGAAGAAATGTACATTTTAGAAAGAATGGAATACAGTATTTCATACTACATCTTGAACACAAGCCACCACTTACAAATGCTAAAATTTGGAATCTTTTTTCAAAGATTTTAATCTTGTGTGATTAATCTATGCTGCTGAGCATACATTAACATTTAGAAATTAAAAGCTCATAGCTACAAATGACATTTCCTTATTAAATCTTCTCTTGCCTCTACAAATGCTCCATTTCAGTGAGCATTCTTTTACCTTCCACTTCCTTTACATTTAATCCTCTCCAATAATGCTGTTCATTTTTGCTCCTATGATCATAACATCCTTTATTTCCTTTCTCAGGAAAGGGTCTGTAGGGTGGAGAAGGTAAAACCTAAAGCAAAATAGCAACAAAGCTTCCTGTTCTCTTCTATCTGAAGCAGTTGATAAAAGAAATAAACCAAAAGACTGAAGGAATTTTTTACTGTCAAAATCAGAGTTGGTTTTCCATGTAACTAAATTTTATACATAAAACTGAATCAACAATTCATAAAGGTTAAATGCCAACATTAGTATTATTAAAACTATTAAGAAAAAACGTAAGTGTTCCATACAATTTTAAAGGTTCTCTTCAATCTGGATCTCCATAGCCAGAATGTCATACCACCCAACCTAGTCTAAGCTATAGTTCTCACAGTGACAGGGCTGAGGACAGTAAAAGCTATGAAGCAAAATATTTTGAGGCATAAATACTAACTAAGTTAATGTGTAGGCTCTCTCCAGGTGTTAAGGAAATAATCCTGATGTTATAACACAAATTACTACGTTACCATGCTAAGTAAAAAAAATTTACATCTCTCTCAACTATTCACTGTATTGAATCCTATTCCTATTTTTCACTGAATTAAAATCTACCATCTAACATAATAAAAAATCCTACCGTATTTAAAGACCAGTATGTTGAATTGCTTTATATTTCATAAATCTATCATACTTTTTGTAGGGTACTAGCTCCAGAATAAGCTTACCTGTTCCATTAAAAATGTTACTTGATAAGGAGTTATTCATTCCAAATGCCTGATTCCTGTTCATTCCAAATCCAGACATACTGGGTACATAGAAAATAGTTTTAGATATACAGTAAGAACACTAACTTTCAGATGAAGAAAAACAGAAGTGTGTATTTTTGGTCTCCATATAAAATAACAATATGTTTCAAAACCAACACTAATATTATTTTTCTGAATCTATTCTTTATCTTTACTTGAAAACTTCTCTAAAGTCCTTCCATGAACAAATGAGAACCAGAACATTTTAGGCAGATTAGTTAAAAAACAAAAACTCAAAAATTTATATATGAACCTTGAGGAAAACAGATTCAGGGCACCATTTTGTGTACTTGAAGAGCCAACTTCCTGGATACCTGAATTACCTAACCTCAAAAATATGCAGGTTAGTGTTAAGATTATTCTTGCTAAATAGTTGTTTTTCTTCTTTACTGGTAAAGCTTGCAAATATTACTTTTCATAATAGATCTTCTCTCTTACAGTATTCATCTTCCCAACTAGAATATAAACTCCTCATGGACACAGGAGTTTATGTCATACTCCTCCCATGTTAAACTCCTCTCTGTGTCTTCTGCCCTTTAGTGTTCAGGAAGACATAATAGACATTCAATAAATATGTAGTGACCTGAATTGAATGGTGCGTTTTAAAATTGAATTCAGTGCTCAAAAATACATCATTCTTATCTAAATATAGTTTACCTTTCATATACTTAAAAGAAAACACAGTCTATGGTGTCCCCAATTTTAAATTAATACACAACTGGTATTTCGTAAATAGTTACAGTTGCCTCCCTCCCTTTTTTGTACAAGACTAAGCATGTGAAGAAAAAAAAAAAAATAAGGCAGAACTTAGAGCAAGGCCAAATAATTAAGAGTGTCAACAGGAATTGTTAATGCAGATTCTATAGTGAAACCACATGTCTTTAATGTCATATATTCTTCTGATAAAAGGCACTTAGTGTATCAATGCTGTAAGCGGGGTTAATCTGTATGAAGATGACAGGGTTTTTTGGGTTTTGACTAAATCTATAAACCTATAGTGAAACAATTTTTTGATAAAACATGCAGCTGACAAAACAACAAACACTCTAGAGAAGAGCCAGAAAGTCAATGGAAATTTTTGTTTAATAGCATATTAGAATTGCTGATGCTATTACAGGTACCATCAAACATGGAATAAGTGCTCAGAGATGAAAACAATTTATAATAAATACAATCTGTCAATAGTAGAAATAAGCAGGGTTTTAGAGATCCATGTTACATTGACAATTTAAGCAAAGTGTATTTTAAAAACAAAATGTGAAAAACTATGGAAAGGTAAAAATTTATACATTCAATGCCCAATACTATGAGAACGCACAAAGATATGATAAAGTTATGATAAAGATATAAGGTTAGAAAGGTATCAAGGAGATGAGAATTTTGATAACCCTTCACAAATAAGTTTTTTAAAATTTAAAAGAGCAGTAAAATTATAGATATCTAAATAAAAGCAAAACCTGGAGTTTATGGAATGAGGATTAAACAGTAAATGTGCTAAACCTATTTTAATTCAGATTTTACTAGACAGAATAAAGTGAATCAAACAGGTATGATGATAACAACTAGATCAAGGTAGTTTTGCCCCTACATTTCTCCATTTAAAAAATACATATATATACATGTAGGCAATCAAGCTTAAATACTACTTTTGCAAGAAAGTGTTATATTTCAGACATAATTCTCATACAAATTACCCAAACAGCTTGAAAATCCTAACAAAATGAGTAACTCCTCTTATTCGCAAAGTATATGCAACAGACAGTACAAAGAGAAGTGAAAAAGTACAAAAACCCGTTTTTTTGTTTTGAATCCCTAAACATGATACGGTTTTCAAATACTATAGATGTGATCTTAAAAAGTCTTTTGTTGGTAAGTCTCCAATGCACAAAACCAAATCTTACTTGAGAAGGTACTCAAAGTATAACTAAAGCAAAGTAGTAATAGTCAAACATGTCTCCAGTTCTATTCATAAACCTAGAACTCTTACCACACAGGTAATCAACTTATTTTATAAAGAGAGGACATATCAACCAAAATTTGCCTGGTGGCGAATCCAAGAACAATCCTTTTCTAACAACCACAACAACAAAATGTTTTAATGTGCTTTCCAAAATCAACCTGATTTTCAAGAAAACGTATCGTTTTGTGATGGGTAACAGAATCTTTGGACATAAATGCATGATGAAACACACTTATTAGAGAGAAGCCACACCTCAAGAACAAAGTGAAAATATGAAAAGGCAAATCTGAGTATACCCAGAAAGACAATTATACACAGTATCAATAAACATCTTACCTGTTCACAGTAAAAGGCTGTCGAGAAGGCTGCTGCTTTGGCATACATATTATGCTTGGCGAGCTTCTGTTGGGGCTACCTAACCCTGAACTGCTCATGCTATTTGTCCTGCTAGGAATTCCAATGCCCTGACCAACCTGGGAGTGGTTCATCATATTCCTAGGATTCATAGGCAAAATACCCCTGAAAAAGAAGTCCATTATACTAAATAAGCTCTCTACAATCACTCATTAAAATTCTCTTTAAATAATCAATTGGTCCAACCCTAGAATCTCAAATATACTTTCAAATTGCAGTTCTAATTTTTATTAATTCTTTAGTCATTCTAGCTCTTTGAAAAGAAAAAGTAAACAAACAATAAAGGGCAAATTATAGTGCAACTGATAAAAGGTGGTATCTAAGATGAGAGAACTACTGGTGTGACTGTGACATAAAATATAAATGTATTTCACACACATATTTAGAATAATTTCATTTCAATGGCATATCGTTCTATCCTCTGCATACTAAATGTATAGTCTATGTCATCTGTTTTACTTTATGCTCATTAGAGCAATGGATGTGTGGCGAGGGAGCAATGATCACAATCATCTGGGGAGGAATTTTAAATTGCACATATTCCTTTGAGGAAGACAGGTGCCTTTTGAAAAAGCTCCCCAGGAAATGATTAACCCTTGATATCCACCCCACTGACAACCAGTATGCGAGCTGCAGTATAAAAACCACTTGTACTGTACTTAACAATTTGCACTGAAATAAAAAGAGCATAGGTATTTTCTTCCTCAGTGAAAGGCACTGAACCAGAAAATCAAGTAATTAATTACCTTATTAAAAAACTAAAAGTTTGTTTACTCTACCAAGATACATTTTGAAAAATATTCTGGTCCATCAATAAATACCTGCTTGGAGATGGAGGCGTGTGAAGTGACATTGTTGGTACCCCTGTTGTTGGCGTGACGTGGCTCGGTAACTGAGTGCCTTGTGATAAGCTGCGATTTAACTGAGGGGTATTGTTGCTCATCCCCCTCATTGGAAGGCCTAGTGCACCTAATAAAAAAATTCAGAAGAAGGAAATTCATTGCCATCAGGAATGAAATTGTTATCCATCTTCTGGAGTTGGCGATTTAAGACACTTTTAATGACCTAACATAGTACGCAAATTTTAAATGGATATATTCGATTCACTCCAAATAAACTCTGATTTTAACAAAAAATATGTTCCAGTCTGAAATTTAATATTATGAATGGATATTTCTTTCATATTCCTATTTTTCATATTTCAATTTCATTATGAAGTATGTAAATGACTAACAAGTTACAATATTATGAATGGATATTGCTCTAAAATTTCTTAAAGGCCTATTTGCATATATGTACATGTGTATATACAAAGAGGCCATTATGAAATTTTGCAGTAATGTGTTTTTATGTCTTTATTCACAACTAATGTATACAGAAAGACATTTAACCCCGCTTTGCTGAAGTAGCTTTAATTTTATGTGATCCTTTAAAATTATATTTTAGAAAAAGCCAATTTACTATTTATACATATTTCTCAACATTACTGTTTTTACAAACCCAACATAAAATGCCAGCAACTGTTAAAAAAAACTCAAACTGATATAGCTATAAAAGACAAAATTTTAAAACATTTAAAAAGACGTCAAAATATAATGCCCCTGTATTTATCTAGTACCCCTGGAGCCAGGTGTGGGGATGGACTATACATTCTAATAGGTTTTTTTTTTTTTAAAGACTGCTAAGAGTTTTATCATTCTCATACGAAACAAACAAACAAAACCACTGTGGATAAACTTTTTTTAGAAATGTATATTTCCTGAGTTTTTATTCAGATCATAGGAATTATAAATTTTTTAATAATCCAGGATAATTATCATAGACAGCATACGTTTATTTTTTTCCCTTTTATGCTTCAAAGTCAAGAAGTACAGCTATCACTTACACTGTTATATCTGTCTACGAATTCCTCTCCCTTTCCTCCATCTTCCTGACCCACACTTTTTAGTGCTTTCTACTTCTAGTCTGCTTCATCAACCAAACTTATTCTGAACTGGAGATTAAATAAAAGTGATAAGATAGAGTGAGAACTAATCAGTAAGTAGATGACTTCAGTGCTAGGGATTTAAGGTGATTTTATCCTTTGGCATAATAATGTTTCACCTTCTAACCTAGGGATAGGAGTGGTTAGCGAGTATCTCACTGATCGTTATCTTAAATTTGGCAGCCTGTATCTCAGCTTGTAGACTAACTGTGCCTCTCAACTGAATGAATTTTAATCCAATCAATCTAATTCAATATAACTAATATATTCCATGTATATACTTTTCACTCAGATTCCATGGAGACCTAAGCTTGGTCCTGCCTTTCTGTAAGATACTTTAAGGGAACTGGCCTAGATTACATGTACACTTTTATGTATGTCTACAGTCACCGTAAGTTTTGTGACTATGAGAATGTCACTAGCTGAAGCCACTTTCTTTGAATCTGGGACAAAATAAGGAAGAATAAGGATTAAAAATCAGCTTGCTTAAGATTTCTTCAGAAGAAATCTGTCTTTTCCCTCCCTAAAGCACACCATTTTTCTTTGAGGCTTTCTAGGTGTGCTCCTAACAAACCATCAACATACTTTTCACATCATTCATTCAACAAACATTTAATGAATGCCTACTATGTAACACGCATTGTGCTAGCTGCTGGGGATATGGCAGTGAACACAACAGAAAAGGCCCCTACCCTCAGGGAGCTTACATTCTACTCCCTAAACATGCTGTCCTGAAGTCAACTATAGCTGCAAATTTTCCTCAGGAATGTGTTTCTCACAGTTACTGACCACCAAGATAATGTCAAACAATTTTAGAGCCGGAAGGGATCTTAAAGATCACCTAGTTCAATGTTCCCATTTTACACACAGGTAAGGAACCTGAGCCTCATGTAAGTTAACTGACTTCTCCACGGCAACACAAAGAACTAGGACTAGAATTTAGATCTCTTAGCTGCTAATGCTCTTTAATAGCAGCATGACAGGAGCCCAACAGAACTCTCGATTAGCACCTCTGTGAGTGCCTACTAATTTCAACACCTCTAATGTATTTTCCCCCTGCTTTCTTTTTCCCTTTTGAATATGTTTCCCTCAACCTTTTTTCTAAATCTCCACGTCTTGCTCTCTTCCATTTTCTTTCTCTCTCATCGTCATACCTATCAGTTTTCTTTCTTCTTGTTCTACTTTTCCTTTACTTTTCACCCTCTCTACACATTCACCACCATAAACAAACATACACTTTCCAAAAATTAGTGCCCTTTTGGCCCCCTTTTAACAATCGTTAAGCCCTACAAAAGGCTCATTGAGATTTGACTCCTTCAAGTCTCCACATACATATTATTCTATGCTGTATCATAAAAATTTATCATTTCAGGAATATTTTAGAAATTGGAAGTTATCTGACCAGCAAAAAAACAAATTTGGAGAAGAAAACAAGAATGGTAAGGCTATTTGGCCAATTAGGGATTGGCATCCTTGAACTGATTTTAGTGCTAAAACTGGACAGAGACCGTATGGAATAAAGTAACTTACTTTCAGTGTTTAATTTTAGCTTTCTAAAATTAATCTTCACAAAAACAGCTAATAAATTCAAAAAGTCTAAGTTTAATTTTGTTGAAGTAGTATAAAAAGATCAAAAAAGAATATATCACTTCAAATTGGATCATCAACCCCTGAATACTTAATAATTGTTACTTTAAATTTATTTTAAAAACTGAATTTCTTTAAAACATAAAGAATGGCACTGGAAAGGTATATATAAAGATTTGTTTTTTGGAAACTAAATATACTAAGTCATTAACTTTGAGTTGCTTGAGTCAAACTAACACAACTGAATAGGGTCAAGGGGAAAAAAATCTAATCTCTCACTAGTATAATTAGAAACAATCACAGAAAAATCATCTCTAAAATATTATGCCAAGAATAGGACATACAGCTGAAAAAAAGAAAAAAAAAGAAAAATGGGAAGAACTCAAGGAGTTTTTCTTGGCATAAAAAAACTAAAACAGGCAAAAATATAAATATGTATAAATGAGCTTGTATATGAGCAGGTGACTGGAAGGACAGTAAAATTAAAATTTATTGGGCACTTATCAACAAAGCACTATACTACTTCCTCTCAATTCCTTCTTATAATCATCTTATAAAAAAGGTTATCACCTTTTTACAAAGAATAAAAACAAATTTTAAAAAAAGTTTAAAAGGTTATAATTTTGAGTCAAATTTTTCTTTCAATCTAACAATTGATAATAACAACACAATATTAGGAGGACTATACGAACACATTCTAAATAGATTCCTACCTCTTATCTGGCAGGGTGTTAGTCAAATTCCTTATTGATCATTTTTCAGAAACCCTTAAAGAATATGATCTAAGAAATTATTCCATTAATTATTTCCACTGCACAAACTGATTAACAGCACATCACTTAAACACTTATGGCAAAATACGTCATTCTTTATTCAATTTTTTGCTAGAAATAAAAAATATTAAGTTACATGAAAAAATAAAATCATAGCAACCAAATCCCTGAATATTCATACTTAAATAAAGTCCCCTAAAATCTTTATAGGGGCAGGAGAGAGTAGTCCTTAACTGATGCCTTAAAGTGTCCCCTTTTCCATTTGCAAAGCAGCCAGCTTCCTCTAGGAACTCACTGGCATGCCCATACTAAAAAGGACAACATAAATGGTGCTTTATCTCAATGGCTTCTTACCTTCAACCTGTCTTGCACTTAGCTGGTTAATGATTCCTGTAAAATTATTTCCTTATGCAATTTTCTTCATTAAATTCAAAGTATTTTAGAATAGAAAAGACTCCAGAGATTATCCAAGTAGGTTACAGATAAAGAATTCACACTAGGCATTAAGTGACTTGCTCAAGATCACAAGTAATGAGGCATTAAAGACAATGATCCAATTTCTTGACTCCTATTTCAATGCCTTTTTTGCAACCAATATCATTTTCCATTTTTTAATGGTAGTTAATAATGTTTGCATCATCCAGGGAACTTTAATGTCTAGGTCTCCTCTCCAGCAATTGTGATTTTGGGCAATCATGGCAGTGGAATTTTAAAAATTCCCCAGGTGTTTCCATGGGTGCAGTCAGGGTTGAGAACCACTGTTCTAGAGTATTAAAATTCTGTCAAGACCCAAAGATGTTTTCTAACCTTAACAAGCATTTTACTCTGTTTACACACTACATATCTGATTTATAATCTTCTTTCTTCTTTCTCTATTCCTTTCCTCAAATCTGTCCTTTACTACTCATATCTAACTCCTCAGCAAGAATACTTTCCCTTCTCTTGTTCTAGAGATATAAAAGACTACTTAAAAATAAATAAGTGCTATGACCAAGGTGTTTACATGCAGTAGACATAGCGTGCTTGACTGCTTGTAGGAGGGACCACACTAACTCAGACTTGGGAATAGAGTGAGTCTGGAAGCAGAAAAATTTTCCTGGAGGAGACAGAAGATAGTATATGAATTAAATAACATATGAGACTCAGCCAGGTGTTTGGTGGTGGCAGTGGTGGGGAGTCAGGTGGGTATAAATGTTACAATAGTTCAGTCTGAGAGAATGACGAGATATATGAAAATGAGGACAAGTTATACACCTGGCGGAGGAACAGGCTTTGCCTTCTAGGTGCTAAGAATGTATAAGACAAGAAACATGGATGGAGCTAAGTGGCTTCCACAACTATGAGAAGTGGCTGCTGTGCTCGAATCAGCTGAGAGTCTCAACATCTGGCTGGATCTTTAGAGGAGTGCCACAGAATCTTTACCTGTGGAATAGCTGTGTGGATCTCCCAAGTACACTCTACACTTCCTCAACCTAAATTTCTGCTCTAGATTAGTGGCACTCATTCACAAAGGTTTGCAGGTCGGAAACCTTAGAAATCATTCTTGATCCCTTTCTTTCACTCCTACATCATCAAGTCCTGTTAGCTCTATCTACAAAATGTACCAAATCTGATCACTTCTCAACACCTCCACTAGTCCAAGTCATCCCATTTTTTTTTGCCTGGACTACTGCAGTATTACTAACATTCTCTCTCTCTCTCTCCATAAAAACAGGACATTTGTTATTTGCTATATTCTTATCTATATCTTGAAATAATACCTCATTCATTGTAGGCACCCAATAAATACATAATTATTAGAATGAATACATTCTATCACAATGTCTTAATTCAACAGATTCTTGGCACCTGTGGATTTAACACTGGTAGTTTCTACTATGTACAAATGGCTTTCTAGGGTCATGGCATTCAGGTATCAAAGAAACTGATGTTTTCAGCTCATGTTCACATAGTTACTCTTACAAAGTAATATAATCCTGGTTCTACTACTTACAATCTGTGTAACCTTGAACAAATTCCTTAAACTCTTGTGGAGCTGCTGTGAAGGTTAAATGAGTTAATTCACATAAATACTTAAAATCGCATCTGATACACAGTAGATAATATTCAATAAATATTAGCTCTGTGTGTGTGTGTGTGCGTGTGTCATACTTATGAAAAGAAAGCCAACAGGTGGTACCAAAAGTGAAGATAAAATAAGATAGTCTAATCAAGTGATGGTTTTCACACACACAAAAAGGATGTTTTATGGTGGAAAATGTTATTCTATAGCTGTGTTCTTGAACTTTAAAAGTAGCAATGATCTTGAAATAAATCTCTCAGAAATGTGAAGACTGTACTTCTTGCTGAAATCAATATAACAGCCTAACAGGTGTCTCCTGTCTTGATAAAGTAGGCCATTCCTAAATCTATCCCATGCTGTGGATGTTATTCCCACTGCTAAAACAACTTTACTCACAGTCTGTTCAATGCTAATCTCAAATATAATCTCATCAGTAAATTCTTTTCCTAATCATTTTCCAAGATACCTGATTACTCCTGTCTTTGAAATATCCAAATAGTCTACAGCCGTACCATCCTGAATGTGCCCTATCTCATCTGAAACATCCAAATAACCTCGAACTTCTTATTCTACTACATAGTAAAATCATTTGTGTACTTATCCTACTAGATTATATGAGACTGCTTCTTGTTCATCATGCATTCAAGATTTACTGAGTGCTTGTCATATGCGAGGTACAGAGGATACAAAGGCAATGAGGACATGCAATAAATAATGCAGCAACACCATAGCAGTAGGTACACTATGCAGAGATGGCATAAATGAGGATGATCTCTTCTACCACACATCTGCAGTATCTAGAATGGCACAACATGTATGGTAGGGACCCATAAGTATTTGTCAACTTTAATTCCTACCTGCTTTTTGAAGTTTTTCCATACCACTATAGCTTCCCTTTTTTTTTGGTTCTCCTCAAGGAGAATGGTATAGACAGAATTTGCTCCCTAAAAGTCTGTCTACACCATTCTGCACATGGTATCTTTTAATCTATGTGTTAGCATCACAGGCTGTTATTTAATATTTTACATATAAATATGTCCTATCTTCCCCAACTATAAAACATGTGTTCAAAAGAGCAAGAAATCCTAGAGCACTCTGTACTTATTACTAAGCATTTAGTATCTGTTCAATGGTCCTACAATTTCCGAAAGCAACCAAAATATGTCATGCACCTATTTACATAGCTGATAGCATCACTTCTGAACCACCCCACCTGTGCTCTGGGTTCTCTATGAAACAAGTAGCTTTCACATAGGTGTTCTTAAAGCAGGAGGCCAAAGAAATGTCTGCTGGAAGCATGAGACTATGTCATTGTTCTCAAGCTAGGAGTCCAGAACTTAGAAATTCTGACAGATTTAGCTCTTCTTCCATCTAGATGCCTGGGTCCTCTGAGAATTCAGACACAAATTTGTATAATGAATTCACCCAGATATTTTGCTAAGCTAGGTGCCTATAAGATAATATGCACACAGAAAGCACTCAGTAAATGACAGTTTCCTTTTTCTCCAATCTTACAAGGTCCTAGATCCTGTTGGTAACTAAGAAAAGGTAAATGCAACTATCAACCACTTAATTCCAATGCTTTGACTATCCAGGAGAAATTAATTCCTGGTTCCCTGTTGATTCTAATCTAGGAGACAGCTTAAGGGAGCTCATGGGTCTTGAAGCTTATAAGGTGTACAGTAAGTCTTCACTTAATGCCACTGATCATTCTTGGAAACTGTGATTTCAGGCAAAAATACATACAGCAGGTCCTTGAATAGTGTTGTTTCATTCAACTTCATTCCATTGTAATGTTGATGAGAACAAAAAATTGGTTTTGTTATATGTAGTTTTGCTTCAAGTCGCAGTTTCAAAAAACTTATGTTAAGTGAGGACTTAATTCACCTGAAAGCTTATCACACACTCAAATATAACAAATAGGAAACATTATGCAACTTGAATACAAGAGTATGTTCATTGGTTTCTATAGTTATCATTCCATGTACAGTATTCACGTGAATTATTGGATGAAAAGTCCAATTATTTACATATTTGGATACAATCATACTATACTAGAACTGAAGACCATACAGGTCTCTGTTCCAGCATTTTCTGGCTACCTCATGGCACTGCATAATCACTTCCACCCAAATCTAGCCAAATCTAAGTTTAAGCACTTCTGTATCTATTCCAAGACAAACTCCCTTTCTTGTTTAATCTCAGTGACTCTTACTTCTAGAGAGGGCACTCTTCCTTCTATATCTCTTCCACCTCTAACCTTTCTAACCATCAAGAACATACAATAGATAGTAGATCTCACATTTTTAATGGCACAAATTACAATAAAAGTTTGCCAACTGAACAGAATTAATAGTGGTACTCAATGCACTTGGGAAACGAACTTTTAGTTACACCAATCTCAATGTGCAATTACAGTAAGTTGCCATAAGAATAATATCTCTAATCTACACTCACCTACTAATTCCTTATCTCTCCATCCTTCATTTAACTCAGTTCCTTAAGTTTTGTCATTCTGACTTAAATTATTAAAACCTTAACCCTCAAGACCCACATGGTAGCTTGTGTTCTGCTGTCTGACAAGGTGTTTGTTCAGATTACCTACCAGCTGAATGACCTATTTGGCCTTCTCGGGTCTGTCCTAACAGATAGAAATTGGCAACCTAGACTCTTTCTTTTTCCACTAGTTATAGCTTCTAGATCGATATCTTGGAAAAACATAATTACACCCTGACCTGAAACATTACAGTTCCAGTTGATCTAAGATTCAATTTTTCTGTACTCTATCTAACACTTAAAATGTCATTTTAAAAGAGTAAGCCATACATTCAAAATGTTGCTTCACCAATGTTACAGGAATATAGTTATTTAATATACTGAACTCCAATGGAAAATGTTTGCCATACATGGCTTCTTTTTAAACTAGTAAGTACCTTAAAAATTCTTTTTCTAATGAAAATAAATTTTCTCATGTATTAATCTTTGTATGTCCTTAAAAACAAAAACATAAATGTCTGTCATACCAATGATATAACTGCATTTTAAACATAACCCATTC
The DNA here is from genome assembly GCF_000001405.40 of Homo sapiens. Lineage (NCBI taxonomy): Eukaryota > Metazoa > Chordata > Mammalia > Primates > Hominidae > Homo > Homo sapiens. The sequence goes on along the minus strand of NC_000012.12, from coordinate 70,320,927 downwards.
CATATCTTAGCCCAGTTAGAATTTCAGATTTGTAGGCTAAAAAAATTAGACCAGAATTTTAAAAAATCCAGATAGCTGATTATAAGTATAGTAATTGCCATTATCCTTTACAAAATAACCTTAGTTTCTCAAATACAATTTTTCTCCAATCCATATCTACTTTCTGCTGTGATAAACGGTGGTCTTCCAAAAGGTAAAGTAAGTTCTTTGCAGTTGCTCTGAAGAAATAAAAGGTAGCTTTAAAATAGCTAGATATTTCTATAGTAAGGGTTACCAGAAGGGTGAAAGCCACACTAAAACACAGGGTAAGCAGAATAAATTACTAGCTAATAATAGTCCTTCAACAACTAGGATAAATATTTGTAGATAAACAATTTTTTTATGTAATAAGCTTTGGAAATACGTTTCTTGGTTTAATTGGAGAAACTGTTAATACAGAATAACTTTTATCTACTAATTCTATATTAACAAAATTGTGTTCCATAGCAAAAAAGAGAAAAGCCACAAAAGATAGACAGAAAAAAGTAAATGGAAACCATGCTTGTATACAAAATTAGTTTCATCCTCCCACTTCGAATCAATTTGGAAGGTAAAGTGTTATGACAAACTATTCTGATACCTGTCAAAACTTTGCTTTTCATTATACTGGGAGAGTTCCAAATCAAATTATTGATTTTTACTTGAAACTGGTTAGGATAGTCATCAGATGTCTTCTTCAGTTATTCAATTATCCTATAATGTCTGATGGGAATTTATAACACTTTTAATTCCCTTCTTCTATTAACAGAGATTACATTAACAGAAATGGGAGATCAACAGATCTGACATTAACAGAGATGATAAAATCATACTAATATTTAACAATTTGGGAAGTTAATTTGAGAAAATATAAAGATATTTTATTGTTTAGTTTTATAAAAATTTTATGTGATAATAGCTAACATTTATTGAGCACTTACTATGCACTAGGCTCTGTGCTAAGCGCTTTAAAAGTATTACAACACTTTAAAAAAATAGAAGTAGAAGCCTGCAAAACGGAACAAGCATTAAACCGTGAGTCAAAAATCTAGATTCTATATCCAGACTGAGCTAAAGCAAAAGAAGAAATATTTAAGAAATACTTGTGAAACAAAGAACATTTTACAAACTGCTAAGTAATGAGTTTACTTAATAAACAGGCGTGCACATACACACACACACACACACAGAGTAGCCAGTCAAATAAACTAAAAAAGCTTTTAACTTCCTTTAATTGAAAACACAGAGAATGTCTATTTTTAGTTTAGCAAATTCTTCAAAAATACTGCAAAAAATTTACAGATGTAAAAGATGTTGAAATAAATTTCAATCTATGCTATATCCAAGTAATAGCAACCATAGGATCAATAAGGTCTGAAATAATGAGGTTTTGCTATGTAAGTAAAATAAAACTCTGAAAATTAAACATTTTTCCTTTTAAGTCATACAATAAACCCACAAAGGAAGTACTGGTTGTTCTTTATTTGGTAGTTACTTATTTTTCTCTTTAAATAAAGTATCCCAGAATAAATACAAAATTCTTACTTTGTTGCCCGTATAAACTTGCCCCAAACTGAGACAGCTGACCTGATGTAGATGGTGATGCCAGCATCTAGAAACAAATTAATTATATTAGAGCATAAAGAAAACAGAGCAGAGCATTGCATTTACACTCCACAAATCTGTAAATCATACCATAAATGTGAAAATCTAACATTTTCTCATTCTTCAGAAAAACATAAAACAAACATTCTATAATATATTCCATGTTTCTTAAGAGAATATCACAATTCGATAAAACCAAACTGTAGAAATGAAATTAATTTTTAATACTATAAGTTTTCTAAAAGTCACACTAACTTGAGTTACAGCAGCACTACTCTTTCACTTAGCAAGTTAAAAAAATAAAATTATATAGACATGGTATATAATTTATGTATTTGTGATGTGAACTTCATGGCACTTGTACAATGCCTTTGAATTTATCCATTTTTTTTTCCTTGTAGATGTAAATTATTTGAAGATATGTTCACAGAACATACATTCATTATATATATCCTCATAGAAATGAATGTAGCAGTGTTATATACTCAAAAGTAAATACTGAAGCTGAGTAAATGAAAATATGTGTGTGTGCATATTTGCGTATTTCCTGTCTTATATTAGACAACCATCAAAACATCCTAATTAAATAAGACATGAGCCATGTCATCAAGGGGCTTACAATCTAGTGGGGAAAGAGAATGAATTATACAACTCATTATATTTTAAGGCACAGTGTGGTAAATGCTCTAAAGGAAACATGAAACATCACTGGAGCTACACAAAGGTATCAGGAATACTCTATAGAGTGGTAACATTTAGGTACATACAATGAAGGGGTCTTCCCTCAAGAATATGCAGTGAGTATAAGTGTAACAAAGGTTAGTAATGTAATCAGAAACCACCTGTACCCCCAAAACTATTGAAATTCAAAAAAATTGAACAAAAATTTAAAAATTGAACACAAAAACCCAGTATCCAGTTGTTAAAAAAAATAAAGATTTGTAATATTATTAGAGAACATAAACAGTGGTGATAGGATAACTATGAAAGGAGATAAAGTTCATCTCTATTTGGAGATAAAGCTCACCCATGTTATGGCATAGAAGAATGCGAAATAAATGTCATACAAGAATGGCTACCAACTATAGCAATAAAAAGAAAAATAATATTAAGCAAGAAGGTGGCAATCAAAATGGGTTTTGGGAAGATACCTCTAATAGCAGAAATGGGATATGCTGAGATACTAAACGACAACAGCAGAAGTGAGACTAAAAATAAGACGCATTCTGGTGGTAGAAGTAACAGTTATTTTATGTCCTGTTGACTAGCTGGGGTATAACGGGAAAAGGAGGTTAATGGAGACTCACAAAAGAGAGAACTATCAGAGGCTGATCTGTGGTTTCCAGGGATGAAAAATCATGCTGACACTGACCACAGTTAGAAAAACCAAGAAGTGAAACATGTATTTTTGTTTGTTTTTTTTTCTATTTTCTCACCCTGTCTTGTGGTGCTGAGGTAAAACATTTAAAGGGTAGAGGTTTTACAATATACATTTCATACTATTTTCATGTCAAAATTCTAAGTTGTTTCAATTATACTAAAGTTTGCAAAATTTTTTATACTATAGTTTTAGACCAATGGTACACATCAGTAACTCTTGAGGTAGGGCTGAGTTATACACCACTCTAAAGAAAACAGTAATATTAATACGACAGTAGTGATTTTTCTAAAAAAAAAAAAAAAAAAAAAAAAATCAAACCTTATAAATATTCCCTCCCAAATCCAGAGGTTGTGCAACCTAGATAATTAAACTAACATCCTTTATCTATACAATTAAACTATATATTCTTTCCCAATTATAACCCAACAGATCAAAAGATGCCTGATAAGTTCTTTTCTTAGGTATTATAGATTACTGTTACTGCATTAACTGAAAATATTTTGTAGGTATATTAAAAGTTCATTTCCAAATTGCAAGAACAAGAATATATAATAAAGCTTTAGTTGATCACAGAAGGTAAAAGGTTTATGGCACATGTATACCTATGTAACAAACCTGCACGTTGTGCGCACGTATCCTGGAACTTAAAAGTAAAATTAAAAAATAAAAAAGGAAGTTTTATCCTTTTTAGTAAGTTTTCTTTTATGATTATGTAGTGGCCTTCTTTATCCCAAATAATGCTTGATATCTTAAAATCTGGTTTTCCTAATAGTAATACAAATCAACCATCAAAAAAAGGAGGTAAAAGATTTATATAAAATTCTTAAGAATCATGATTTTCTGTCATTATAAGCTATAAATGAAAAAGTACAGTTGTTTCTAAAGGCTGCAAATATAAGATGCTGGCCAACATAAATGCATGACTTAGAACAATCCATAATGTGAATATTGTCAAACAAAACACTTAAAACATTTTTCATCAGATATTTATGTTTATTGAATAGTTAACTCCAGACAACACACATTTTAGTCTACTTTCTCACACTGATTATACATCCATGAGTTACAGATATGCCTGGGTATCTACCTGCCCTCTCAAAATGGGAGGAGGGAGTAAGTAGGGAGGGGAAGCAGAGCATGAAGGTAAAGAGGTGGTAGGTCCCTAGGCCAATTACTTGAGATCAAGAACCGTAGGCTGATTCACTTACCACAGTGTGTAATATTATATACAATTTTCTCTATGTGCCACTACATGAAGGTGGTTAGTAAACACAGCTTTACAGGAATAATAAAAGTAGTTTAATGTTAAATTTAAGAGTTTGTAACCTTCAACACATTCATGTAAAATAAGCATCGATCAGCTATACAGACATATCTTAAAATTACTGCCTCAAAATGTGTCAAAAATGCAAATATCTAATTTCTTATAAAGTCTATCCCTAAGAACCTGTACTTTTAAATTCTGAAGGCAATATTTCATCAAACAAATCGGTGCTAAAAATGGATTTAATACACAGTGAAGAAATGTGAATGTCACAGAAATGCTTTTTATGAGTATAGAAAATGCACAAGAAATATACTCTGACAGAACAGTAAGTACTATTAGCAGAAAACAAAATGTATATATTTTTTAAATTCTGAAAGTTAATAATATAAAGGTAAATTTCTTAGAAAAATATAAAACTTTAGATCAAGAAACACATTACAGTAGGGGATGCAGCACAAGTAAAAAGAGTCTAGTTTTGGAGTCAGAAATAATCTGGGTTTGAATCCTGGTTCTGCCACTTACCTATGGAACAACCAATACTTGGTTTCCTTCCTATAAAATGAAAATAACTACCTACCTCACAGAGCTGAAGTATAGGTTAAATGAAATAAGATATGGCATATAGTATGTGCTCAATAAATGGTAGCAGCAGCTGCTAATAATCTAATCTTCCCCTCAGTTGCAGAACTCTCATTAATAGGAGTGAGAGGGGGCATTCAGACTCTTGAGAAATGTATTAAATAATACCCTTAATTTATATAACTTTTTGCCCAAGGGGCTAAAGAAAGTTTATCTTCACAAATTCCAGGTAAAATAAGGCATAGAACTTGTGCTCTTAAGAGTGGCAAACGGTAGAAAAAGATTAATAGAATGCTGAAAACAACAAGTTACAGCACACTCTAAAATCATCATAATAATCAGGTCTTCCATATCTCTCAGAAATCTACAATGCACACTGCAGTCAAACAACAACAATAAAAACCAGGAAGCAACTAGAAGAAACAGTAATGTGATTCTGGTTATTCCCCTAACCCTTCACAGAACTTCTTTATCCTTTAATATACAGAATGTCAAAGAAATCCACAAATTGTTGCAAGGAAATACAACAAAATTTTGTTAAATAAAAATTCCATGACCATGACAGCAATTAAAAAATGATATTTAAGTTTTAAAATATTATTTTTAAAAGACTCTGTATAATATACTCAAAATTATGGTGATAATATAATTCCTAGCACTATGTTATTATTCCAGGACAAAAACCACAAATGAATTATGACTTTTTAACTGTACCATATCTACAAAGAGAAAAAGAGACAAAGAAAAAGGAAGAAAGCATATGCATGCACACACATAAGAGTTCCAGATCTAGACAGAAGCTAAAGAACCTTTAAAATTGGAAAACGGATAACTTAAAACATGAAACTAATGAAATCTAGCAAACAGGCACAAAAAAAGAAAACTATGAGAAGGTAATACATTAAAAAGAACAAGGCCAGGCACGGTGGCTCACACCTGTAATCCCAGCACTTTGGGAGGCTGAGGAGGGCAGATCCCCTGAGGTCAGGAGTTCGTGACCGGCCTGACCAACAAGGAGAAACCCCGTTTCTACTAAAAATACAAAAATTAGCCGGGCGTGGTGATGCATGCCTGTAATCCCAGCTACTCAGAAGGCTGAAGCAGGAGAATCACTTGAACCCAGGAGGCGGAGGTTGCTGTGAGCCAAGATCGTGCCATTACACTCCAGCCTGGGCAACAAGAGCGAAATTCTGTCTCAAAATATCCCCCAAAACAAACAAACAAACAAACAAACAAACAAGAACAAAAGAGAAAAGGGGCAAGGGAGGAGGCAGACAGTAAAATAAAATAGTCATTAAGTCACAGAACAGGGTAGCTTACAAATCAGGTAACTGATGATATGCATCTACTAGGTATTTCAAATAATTTTCATTAAAATATTCTTAAGCTTACATAAGGAACATTTGAAAAATAGTGTAATACTCAATGTACTTAATTCCTTAAACACTTGAGCCTCAAATTTTTTGTTAAAAACAAGTATGGCATTATATTATATTGTCTGAATGTCAGGTTACAGCTGAAGTACAAATTTACGGAAAGACATATGACTGACTCAAGGAATGTTTACATTTTAAAGGTTTTCAATATTCATTGCTAACCTATTTTCTACAGTCTGTCTTAATTACAGCAGTCACTTCAGTGCCCCCCTCACAAACACTAACTATTCTCCCACTTAAAAAAAAAAAATCCTTCATGAGCTAGGTACTATTGTTCCTATTTTACAGATGAGAAAACTGAGACACACAGAGACTGATGTCCTAAGACACACAGCTAGCAAATCAGGTAGCTGACATAAAAACTTACATAGTAGGATTTCCAGGGCTTACATTCTCAATCACCAAAAACTAATAGAAGACTTTTACATGGCAGTTTGTTATAAAATAACTACACAAAGTATTCCATAGGTCAGTAAAAACCAATCTGAAAAATGCAATGAAAATGGCAACTGCAAAACCCTATTAAAACGCATAAAGAACAAGATTAAAGGGAGAAATATCCTTCCGAAAAACCATCTATATTGATATTAATGTGCAACAATCAAAAACCATTTTTTTAAAACAAAGGATGTCAAAGATTCTTACCCAAGATGTTAAAGTGGTCTACAAAGCTATGGCAATTCAATTATGTTGTAGTTCTGACACAGGATCAGTATGGTAAACAGAACAAGATCTTAGAAACAGGCCCAAGAATGTATGAGACACTAGCACATATAATAAAGGGATATTTTAATTAGCCATAAATTAATGATCTAACCCAGGGGTGGGCAAATTATTTCCTGCAGGACAAATCCAGCACACTGCCTGTTTTTGTAAGATACATGAACTAAGAAAGTTTTTACATTACAGATGGTTATATAAAGGCCTATTATACAAAATAGGTTTTGATTTTATATATATCCTTGATTTTGCTTCTTGGTCCACAAAGCCTAAAATAGTTACTATCTGGTTCTTTAAGGGAAAGTTTTCTGACCCGTGATTTAAAGCATAAATGGTGTCGGTGCAATTGGATAAGCTTGTAGAAAAAAAAAGTATTTGGAACCCTACAATTCACAGGTTAAACCAAAACACATTTCTAATGGACATAAATTATATGTGAAGAACAAAACATAAAAGTATTATAAGAAAGTAATTGGGAAATGTCTTCCTAAGTATGATCTCGAAAACAGAAGCCATTTAAAAATAAGACTGATGGATCACATTTAATTAAAATGACAAATATACGTATACTACATATACCAAGAATTAAAGGTGAAAAACTGGGAAAATATTTGTAATGAATGACAAGAGGTTGTTATCCTCAATACATGGAGAATGCAAACTAGTAAGACTTAAGATCTCAATAGAGAAATAGAAAATGACACAAAAAAGGTACACAAAGGAAGAAATACAAATGACCAATAACTATATGGAAAAGACCCATCACACTGTGTGTGTGTAAAATTAATGATGTTTTACTGTATGTACATGAAAACAATAAGCTTGTCTATTAGCAAAGACTTAAATGTAATTGCTGGTATTCTTGTTGGCATGGAGAGTGGTGATTACAGTAAAAACTGGTACAAACTTTTTGATGGAAAATATGTCTGTATGACCTAGAAGATTTAAATAATTGTGTATTTTTCAATAAAAATATTTAAAGCATAAAATTAGAATTTTAGCAATTATTTCTGATAGCATTATAGGTAATTTTTCTTCAAGTGTATTTTTAAAAATTTGTATAATTTACCTGTGCTATTTTGTAATTTTAAAAAAGTAACAGCAACAGCAGCCAATGTATAAGGTAGCCAATATATTATTACTCCTATTTTTACAGAAAAGGAAACTGAGACTTGGAGAAGTTCTTGCTAACAGGCAAAGTCAGGATCCAAACACACATATTTGTATTGCTTTAGAGTCCAAGTTCTTAATTCCTATGCCATACTATGTTCTTAATTAATGTTTTTTTAAAAAAGGTTTTGTGAATCAAACCATTCTGTTACTTCTGTGCCAACCAGCTGGATCAGAATGGTGGCCAACATTTGTGAGTATGTGTGTAAGTATATATACTAATTCTGATTTTAAAATGTAGACATATAGTATTTCTGCTTTTGAGAAGACATATATCTCTTTGTCATTCATTCTCTTTATATACTTTTAGATTTCAGTCTGAAAGCTTCCTATCTTCCTAATTAGAATAAATGCATTTCATCAGTAATAAATATTTCATTAACATTTTCCAAGCAAACTTAACTTTCATTATATAATCACAGCAATACACACAAATTGTAGGTTTTCGTTTCTGCGGCGATACTACCAAAAATATATCCCAAATTCTTTATTTACAAGGTCAATACTTAAATAGAAACCTGTGTAAATAATAATTCAATTATAAGTTACATAGCACATAGCTAAAAGCGCAATAAGATAACAGAAAATTAGATGACATTATTCCATAAGCTATTAAACTACACACTAATTATCAACAAAGCCACAACACACATTAGTTGAAAAAAGCCCAATAATGCCATTGATAGTTTGTTTTCAAAATGACACAAGAATGTTCAAATCAAAATAAAAAAGGAAAATACAAAAACAGAATAACAAACATCCTAACATAAACCTAGTAGGTTAAGCTGATTTGCAAAATTCTGCAAAGTCAAAGGAAGTGATTTACTAATGATCAACTTCAAAGAAAAACAAGGGCATTTGTTCCATATCTTAGAACTTTATAAATGCTTCAAACATCAGTATAAATCTCATTAGGTTAATAGCTAGAGTAGATTGTTTTATACATAAGGAGATTTGGCATAGCAAGTTTATAAAGTGTGAAAGGTAAAAAAAGCTGGGCAGGTGTACAAAGTATAAGAATGCAACTGGTGTGACTAGAGAGTACATTGTATAATTTAAAGTAGCTTAACAGAATTTTAGTAATTACATTCATTTTTAAGTATTTTATAAATTTGCTAATTATGACTTGGTTGCATTCTAAATCCTTTTATCCCAAATGGGATTATTGAACTATTAGCCTTCCAAAGCATTTAATTCATATCTCTATATCATCCATCACATTTTGAATACAGTTCTTCCAAATTTTTCCTATTATAGTATCCCTATGGCTGAACAGAGGAGAGATACACCTGAGGTCCAGAATTACAGCTAGATGACACAATAAGCATAAAGTTTTATTACAGCTTGCCATTATATCTTCAAGTCTGCGTAAATCTGCTTTCTGTTCTATATCTGCATTTGTTTTAATATCAAACAAGTTATTTCCCATATTGAACAAACAAAAAAAATCAGTGATCTAGAAGTTATACCATGTTTACTCCATGTCTTTGAGTACTTCTATCACAGTATTACCATATCCCAATTTGAGAATCATGGGATATTTATTTTCCCCATTAGAATACAAATTCATTGTCTTTGTATCCCAAAAGGATACAAGCACCAAAGGGACTAGCACTGTGCTGAAAAGATTGTCACTCAACCACAGACAGTATTCTGCACTTGATATGCTGTTTTTCAGGAACCCAGACACAGACTTACATTGCTGAAAAAATACAACATAATTGATTAACTTACATCTTTTTCTGACCGATGTGGAAACATAGAAGACTGGCTGTAGTACATGTTTTCGTCATGGTAGTCACTGTCGACCCCCTCTACAAACTTCTTTCTTGAAGCACCAAACATGCTGTTTGTCACCTAAACAAAAATATTACTTTTATCAGGGGTAATACTTTGGAAAATGTTCAGTGTTACCTTACTCCTATGTGGAAAACAGAACATGAAGGGAGCATTGCTAAGATACAGAAATTGATCAACTAATGGCTAGTGGCGCATGTGATAAAGTCATAAATCTGATTATAACAATAAAGTGTTAGATGTTTATTTCCAGACCCTAAAAGTAGGAGAATCACATAAAGCCTATCTTAACAATTCCATTTCCTTTTAAAAAACTAAGTATACCTTACTCTTCAAAAATGGCCAATATCATTTTCCCATACATAGATTTTTTAAAAATTAAGTTTAGGTTTAATTATTCAAAATCTTCACATGCATCTTCCACATTTGTGTATCTGTCATCACCTTATTTTCTCAGTTATCTGTTTTCCCAAGCATTCATCTTTCCTTACAATCTAAGTTTACTGAAATATACCGTTTTTTGAATCAGTGCATATATAGTGGCATACTAGAATTTTATCTCAAGCAAGTACCCACTCATGTAACTGAAGTACAATCTTTCATTGATCATACTGGTATAAAGTTATTATTTCAATGATATAACCTGCTTATTCATTTGTTTTTCCAGTCTTTGTAACATCCAACATTAGCAATTTTGAGCTCACACCAACATAAATTGTTGTCACTTGCTATCTGTGAAGAAATGGTTCTAGGACCTCTCCCCTCATGGATTAAAAAATAAAATCCACGGATGCTCAATTCTCTCACATAAAATGGTTTATAATATTTGCATATAACCTACACACATCCTTTCATATACTTTAAATCATCTCTAGATTACTTATAATATCTAATACAATGTAAATGCTATATAAATAGTCACTGTATTGCTCAGGGAATAATTACAAGAAAAAACAGTCTGTACATGTTCAGTACAGACACAACCATCCATTATTTTTCCCCAAATATTTTCAATCTGCAGCTGGTTGACCCACAGATGCAGAACCCATGGGTATGAAGGGCCAACTGTAATTATTAAAATCTGTGCTAATTTTAATTTTTAATTATTTTTAAAATGTGACCTCTATAAAATTATCAAAACTATTAACTGACTAAAGTTATTTAAGGTCAATGTGTCTTTCTCCTAACAGTACTTTGAAAATCAAGGTAAACCAATGTCAATGAGAAAAGAGATTTTAAAGACTTGAATACAAGGTGACTATGTCTTTTCACAAGTACATTTTTGGGGAAAACTCATCTCAAATTTGATATCTGTCTTGTACATTCATTATGACTAAGAATATTTCCTTCCATTATAAATGAGTGAACAATTTCCATGTCTCATTTCAAAAAATGCTGTAGTCACTATTACATATCAGTAGACGTGGTGAACTATGTTGCAGACTTTGAAGGCCAAACTTTACGTGTAACTCTGTTGAAAGCACCCATGCTGTTTAATATTTCTTATATATTTTAAGTTCCCTGTTAAATATGTAGGAAACTTAATTATTTGACTGTCTTTCCTCCTGAGGTCTGAAAACCTATTCAGTCAGGTATAAATAAAGTCTAAGGACAGCTAACCTATTACTTTGCTATATGCTTTTAGGCAAGTAATCGCTTGAGGTGTGAAATATACAAAGATATTTTTTAAGGGTCTAACAATTTATTAGAACACAGGTACTTAATCTTTTTTTGGGAAACAGACTCCTGGTGAATCTCAGAATGCTATTCTGTAACTCTGTTATTTCAGACCAGGATCCCGCATGCCTATCCACCAGCTCCCTAAGTAGTCCCTACTAGGGGGAAAACAGATGTTTCTTAGTGAGTAATTTCAAAAAGGAAACAGTGGCAAAAAATCACTTTAGAGCTTGCAAATTAAGATTCACTACACATAAGATTTTAGAAGTTTGTTTTTTGAAAGTTAAAGATACATTTAATTATCTTTATAGAACTCTTACTATTGAGCTCTAATTCTAAGAAAGAATAAACATGGAAAATGCATAATTCAATAATTATTCAATAAAGTTTCAGGTGAATATCAAGGCATCTCTCATCAAATTTTATACACATAAATAAGCTCAAATTGATAAACTCTTCTTTTGACACTGTTTGTATAACACTTATCATCAAGACCATTATAGACTCCTAGAATTCTAAAATTGAAATTAATTGTATAGAATTAAAATTTTTATGCTTAATATCTTGCAAAAAGGTTTGGTTTGAAGGCAAAATTAAACATATGTTCCAGACGAAAGAAAATGAAGAAATGTTCCTTTTCCATCAATACCAGATTTTCTCAAGAGTCACTGTGTGTGTGTGTGTGTGTGTGTGAGAGAGAGAGAGAGAGAGAGAGAGAGAGAAAATATACCAAACTTAAGCTTAATTTCTGTTTTGTGTGCTCTGGCACAGAAATTACACATCAGTGACAATACTAATTATTCTTACATGACTTCAGCAAATAATTAAAAAACAAAACGAGAGTGAGACAGAGAGAAAGACAGATGGAGGGAGGGAGAGGTAAGGGTGTTTTACTCTCCCCCATGAATGCAAACCCCCATCCAGAGATGGGTGCTGGTATGAGACAATTCTAATCCATGGCAAAATCACAAGAGAAAAAGACAACACAGGTTTTTCATAAAGCTAGATTTATTTAATTTTAAAGTGCCCGTCCTTTATTCTACATAGAATGATGGAACAGGGTAGGAAGTATTTAAAAATAATCAGGGAACATAAAACTGAGATGAAAACAAGCAGAGAAGTAACTGACCAGGCAAATGCTTGAAGGAAAAGCAGTCAGTTCAGAGGGTCAGTAAACCCCTCACTGGTATGGCTCAGGCAGCATGAACTTAGGTGGTGAAGGGTAGGAACTCATGTCAGAGAGACTGGTTGGGGCTAGACCATATAGTACACCTCGAGAGCCTGAGAGACTTTGGATTTTATTCTTTGTTAGACGGGAAATCAAGAGAGGATTTAGGCGAAGCTTAAGAGTAACTTAATTTGGCTTTTTTTTTTTTTTAAAGGTCCTAGCTACTCCATGAGGAATGGGCTAAAGAGGGTATAAAACGAAAGCAGGAAAATGCATTAGGAGGCCAGTGATAGATAATGATGGCCTAATAGGGTGGTGAGTAGTAGTTGAATAAAGGATATACTCTGAGGCAGAACTAGTAGGAATGGATGGATGGATGATATGAAAGGGTTAAACTATACCCATCTTCTCCCTGAAAGAGAAATTAGGGTACATAAAAATCAATTTCTATAAATTTCAAAGAGGATATGTCAATTATATCGAAATACATTGAAATTACTGGTTACAACGTATGTTAAAAAGTTAATTTGGTAAATAAAAATTTTAATAAACGACAGTCATGTGCAGCATGACATTTCAGTCAATGATGGACCATATATACAACGGTGGTCCCGTAAGATTATAAACAAGCTGAAAAATTCCTATTGCCTAGTGATGCCTTGATAGACCTAAGCAAATACATGAGTGTGTGTATCAGTTTTCAACAAAACAAAAACATCTAAAAAGTAAAAAAACAAAAAAATTCAAATAGAAAAAAGCTAAGTATGAATATAAGGGAAGAAAATATTTTTGTACAGCTGTACGTGTTTAAGTCAAGTATTAAAGAGTCCAAAAGATTTTAAAAAATTAAAAAGGTTATAAAGTAAAAAAGTTACGGTAAGCTAAGGTTAACTCATTATTCGAGAATGAAAATTTTTAAATAAATTTAGTGTAGCCTAAGTGTACAGTGTTTCCAATGTCCACAGTAGTATACTGTAATGTCCTAAGCCTTTACATTCACACACCACTTACTGAATTACCCAGAACAACTTCCAGTTCTGCAAGCTCCGTTTATGATAAGTGCCCTATAAAGGTGTAACCTTTTTAAAAAAATGTTTTGTATCTTATTTTCACTGTACCCTTTCTGTGTTTAGGTATGTTTAAATACACAAATACCAATGTGTTACAACTGCCTACAGAATTCGTATAGCAATATGCTGTACATGTTTATAGCCTAGGAGCAAGAGGTTATATCATCCAGGTTTGTTTAAGTATGGTCCACATTCACAAAAGTGCCTGACGCATTTCTCAGAATGTACTCCCATTGTTATGGCTGTAGTTTAAACTATGGCTGTAGTTTAAAATTAAATCAGACTTCATCTTGGATATACAGCATTAGAATCTTTGGTGTGTACAATTTGTCAGCTTTATTCAAGCAAACAAGTCAAGGGCTTATATATACTTTGTTAAGTGACCACCTTTTTACTTGACACTCACACCAGACTTTCTAAGACAAATTGAGATTTTTTTTTACCAGGAAAGAATATATGCATGTAGCAAAACCAATGTTTCTTAAACCTTTTTTGAACACAGATCTAAAACGTTTAATCAAGACATTTAATCTTTCCTTTGATTTCATAAGAACTAAGCAGCATATTCTAAAAAGTAAACAGAGGTCAGGAATGGTGGCTCATGCCTACAATGCCAGCACTTTGGGAGGCCAAGGCAGGCAGATCACTTGAGGTCAGGAGTTCAAGACCAGCCTGGCCAACAACGTGAAACCCTGTCTCTACTAAAAATACAAAAAATTAGCCAGGCATGGTGGCATGCACCTGTAATCCCAGCTACTCAGGAGGCTGAGGTGGGAGAACTGCTTGAACCCAGGAGGTGGAGGTTGCAGTGAGCCAAGATCATCATGCCACTGCACTCTAGCCTGGCCGACACCACGAGACTACGTCTTAAAATAAAATAAAATTAAATTAAAAATACAGAGATAAGTAAGCTAATCCTCTGTACCAAACCAAATCCCCAAAAGGAATTGGTCTCAGAAAGTAATAAAGAATTAAACTGGAAGACGTAATGGAGCCACTTAAGTTGGCTGGATTTTCCCAGTATATTCCTCCTTCATTATTTAGTTTAGACTAGCTATGAATTCCTAAGGCATGACATTCTCAACATTTAAATACAGTATTTCAAAGCCAAATGTGGTAAATCAGAATAATCACAGAAATTTACCAAAAAAAAAAAAAAAAAAAAACAAACTTCAGATAAAATAACCAAGAACTTCAGAGAAGACGGGTAAAGTGGTCCCTGATACAGGCAGGATGAATGGCAATTAGGGAACCAACGAAGTAAGAGGCAGGCCTGAAGATACACAGAGGATACACCTAAAAATCCCTGAGATCATCACCTCAACATGACTTTGCAGCACTAACTATCTTAGAACCCAACACAAATCTTATGTTTCAGCTTAATTTTGGCTATTCACAGTTGTTACTGTTCATGGTAATCTCTGAAAAATGTCACTTTAACTCTCAAAAATGCTGTCTGTAACCTTTGTGATCTTCAACAATTAAAATTCAAGCTGATCAAACCAACCCTATATATTTATTGAAATTATTTATATCATCAATATCTTTTCATCTCTACGGTCATTTCCTAGCTGATATGGTTTGGCTCTGTGTCTGAACCCAAATATCACCTTGAACTGTAATAATCCCCACGTGTCGCAGAAGGAACCCCGTGGGAGGTGACTGAATCATGAAGGCGGGTATTTCCTGTGCTGTTCTCATGATTGTGAATAAGTCTCATGAGGGTGGAGCCAAGATGGCCGAATAGGAACAGCTCCAGTCTATAGCTCCCAGCATGAGTGTCGCAGAAGATGGGTGATTTCTGCATTTCCAACTGAGGTACCGGGTTCATCTCACTGGGCAGTGCCGGACAGTGGGTGCGGGACAGTGGGTGCGGCGCACCATGCGTGAGCCGAAACAGGGCGGGGCATCGCCTCACCCGGGAAGCCCAAGGGGTCAGGGAATTCCCTTTCCTAGTCAAAGAAAGGGGTGACGAATGGCACCTGGAAAATCGGGTCACTCCCACCCTAATACTGCACTTTTCCAACAGGTTTAACAAAAGGCACACCAGATTATATCCCGCACCTGGCTCAGAGGGTCCTACGCCCACGGAGCCCGGCTCATTGCTAGCACAGCAGTCTGAGATCAAACTGCAAGGCAGCAGCCAGGCTGGGGGAGGGGTGCCCGCCATTGCCAAGGCTTGAGTAGGTAAACAAAGCAGCCAGGAAGCTCGAACTGGGTGGAGCCCACCACAGCTCAAGGAGGCCTGCCTGCCTCTGTAGGCTCCACCTCTGGGGGCAGGGCACAGACAAACAAAAGGCAGCAGTAACCTCTGCAGACTTAAATGTCCCTGTCTGACTGCTATGAAGAGAGTAGTGGTTCTACCAGCACACAGCTTGAGATGTGAGAACGGGCAGACTGCCTCCACAAGTGGGTCCCTGACCCCCCAGTAGGGGCGGACTGACACCCCACACGGCCAGATACTCCTGAGACAAAACTTCCAGAGGAATGATCAGGCAGCAGCATTTGTGGTTCACCAATATCTGCTCTTCTGCAGCCACCGCTGCTGATACCCAGGCAAACAGGGTCTGGAGTGGACCTCCAGCAAACTCCAACAGACCTGCAGCTGAGGGTCCTGGCTGTTAGAAGGAAAACTAACAAACAGAAAGGACATCCACACCAAAAACCCACCTGTACGTCACCATCATCAAAGACCAAAGGTAGATAAAACCACAAAGATGGGGAAAAAACAGAGCAGAAAAACTGGAAACTCTAAAAAGCAGAGCGCCTCTCCTCCTCCAAAGGAATGTAGCTCCTCACCAGCAACGGAACAAAGCTGGACCGAGAATGACTTTGATGAGTTGAGACAAGAAGGCTTCAGAAGATCAAACTACTCCGAACTAAGGAGGAAGTTCGAACCAATGGCAAAGAAGTTAAAAACCTTGAAAAAAAATTAGACGAATGGATAACTAGAATAACCAATGCAGAGAAGTCCTTAAAGGACCTGATGGAGCTGAAAACCACGGCACGAGAACGTGACGAATGCACAAGCCTCAGTAGCCAATGAGATCAGCTGGAAGAAAGGGTATCAGCGATGGAAGACGAAATGAATGAAATGCAGCGAGAAGTTTAGAGAAAAAAGAATAAAAAGAAATAAACAAAGTCTCCAAGAAATATGGGACTATGTGAAAAGACCAAATCTACTTGGTGTACCTGAAAGTGACGGGGAGAATGGAACCAAGTTGGAAAACACTCTGGAGGATATTATCCAGGAGAACTTCCCCAGTCTGGCAAGGCAGGCCAACATTCACATTCAGGAAATAGAGAGGACTCCACAAAGATACTCCTCGAGAAGAGCAACGCCAAGACACATAATTGTCAGATTCACCAAAGTTGAAATGAAGGAAAAAATGTTAAGGGCATCCAGAGAGAAAGGTCGGGTTACCCACAAAGGGAAGCCCATCGGACTAAAAGCTGATCTCTCGGCAGAAACTCTACAAGCCAGAAGAGAGTGGGGACCAATATTCAACATTCTTAAAGAAAAGAATTTTCAACCCAGAATTTCATATCCAGCCAAACTAAGCTTCGTAAGTGAAGGAGAAATAAAATACTTTACAGACAAGCAAATGCTGAGACATTTTGTCACCACCAGGCCTGCCCTAAAATAGCTCATGAAGGAAGCACTAAACACGGAAAGGAACAACCGGTACCAGCCACTGCAAAAACATGCCAAATTGTAAAGACCATCAAGGCTAGGAAGAAACTGCATCAACTAACGAGCAAAATCACCAGCTAACATCATAATGACAGGATCAAATTCACACATAACAATACTAACCTTAAATGTGAACGGGCTATATGCTCCAATTAAAAGGCACAGACTGGCAAATTGGATAAAGAGTCAAGACCCATCAGTGTGCTGTATTCAGGAAACCCATCTCATGTGCAGAGACACACATAGGCTCAAAATAAAGGGATGGAGGAAGATCTACCAAGCAAATGGAAAACAAAAAAAGGCAGGGGTTGCAATCCTAGTCTCTGATAAAACAGACTTTAAACCAACAAAGATCAAAAGAGACAAAGAAGGCCATTACACAATGGTAAAGGGATCAATTCAACAAGAAGAACTAACTATCCTAAATATATATACACCCAATACAGGAGCACCCAAATTCATAAAGCAAGTCCTTAGTGACCTACAAAGAGACTTAGACTCCCACACAATAATAATGGGAGACTTTAACACCCCACTGTCAACATTAGACAGATCAACGAGACAGAAAGTTAACAAGGATATCCAGGAATTGAACTCAGCTCTGCACCAAGTGGACCTAATAGACATCTACAGAACTCTCCACCCCAAATCAACAGAATATACATTCTTTTCAGCACCACACCACACCTATTCCAAAGTTGACCACATAGTTGGAAGTAAAGCACTCCTCAGCAAATGTAAAAGATCAGAAATTATAACAAACTGTCTCTCAGACCACAGTGCAATCAAACTAGAACTCGGGATTAAGAAACTCACTCAAAACCTCTCAACTACATGGAAACTGAACAACCTGCTCCTGAATGACTACTGGGTACATAACGAAATGAAGGCAGAAATAAAGATGTTCTTTGAAACCAACGAGAACAAAGACACAACATACCAGAATCTCTGGGACACATTCAAAGCAGTGTGTAGAGGGAAATTTATAGCACTAAATGCCCACAAGAGAAAGCAGGAAAGATCTAAAATTGACACCCTAACATCACAATTAAAAGAACTAGAGAAGCAAGAGCAAACACATTCAAAAGCTAGCAGAAGGCAAGAAATAACTAAAATCAGAGCAGAACTGAAGGAAATAGAGACACAAAAAACCCTTCAAAAAAATTAATGAATCCAGGAGCTGGTTTTTTGAAAGGATCAACAAAATTGATAGACCGCTAGCAAGATTAATAAAGAAGAGAGAAGAATCAAATAGATGCAATAAAAAATGCCAAAGGGGATATCACCACTGATCCCACAGAAATACATACCACCATCAGAGAATACTATAAACACCTCTACACAAATAAACTAGAAAATCTAGAGGAAATGGATAAATTCCTTGACACATACACCCTCCCAAGACTAAACCAGGAAGAAATTGAATCTCTGAATAGACCAATAACAGGCTCTGAAATGGAGGCAATAATTAATAGCTTACCAACCAAAAAAATCCAGGACCAGATGGATTCACAGCCGAATTCTACCAGAGGTACAAGGAGGAGCTGGTACCATTCCTTCTGAAACTATTCCAATAAATAGAAAAAGAGGGAATCCTCCCTAATTCATTTTATGAGGCCAGCATCATCCTGATACCAAAGCCTGGCAGAGACACAACAAAAAAAGAATTTTAGACCAATATCCTTGATAAACATTGATGCAAAAATCCTCAATAAAATACAGGCAAACCGAATCCAGCAGCACATCAAAAAGCTTATCCACCATGATCAAGTGGGCTTCATCCCTGGGATGCAAGGCTGGTTCAACATAAGAAAATCAATAAACGTAGTCCAGCATATAAACAGAACCAAAGAAAAAAAACGGCATGATTATCTCAATAGATGCAGAAAAGGCCTTTGACAAAATTCAACAGCTCTTCATGCTAAAAACTCTCAATAAATTAGGTATTGATGGGACATATCTCAAAATAATAAGAGCTATCTATGACAAACCCACAGCCAGTATCACAGTGAATGTACAAAAACTGGAAGCATTCCCTTTGAAAACTGGCACAAGAGAAGGATGCCCTCTCTCACCACTCCTATTCAACACAGTGTTGGAAGTTCTGGCCAGGGCAATCAGGCAGGAGAAGGAAATAAAGGGCATTCAATTAGGAAAAGAGGAAGTCAAATTGACCCTGTTTGCAGGTGACATGACTGTATATCTAGAAAACTCCAGCATCTCAGCCCAAAATCTCCTTAAGCTGATAATCAACTTCAGCAAAGTCTCGGGATACAAGATCAATGTGCAAAAATCACAAGCATTCTTATACACCAATAACAGACAAACAGAGAGCCAAATCATGAAAGAACTCCCATTCACAATTGCTTCAAAGAGAATAAAATACCTAGGAATCCAACTTACAAGGGATGTGAAGGACCTCTTCAAGGAGAACTACAAACCACTGCTCAATGAAATAAAAGAGGATACAAACAAATGGAAGAACATTCCATGCTCATACGTAGGAAGAATCAATATCGTGAAAATGGCCATACTGCCCAAGGTAATTTATAGATTCAATGCCATCCCCATCAAGCTACCAACGACTTTCTTCACAGAATTGGAAAAAACTACTTTAAAGTTCATATGGCACCAAAAAAGGGCCCTCATTGCCAAGTCAATCCTAAGCCAAAAGAACAAAGCTGGAGGCATCACGCTACCTGACTTCAAACTATACTACAAGGCTACAGTAACCAAAACAGCATGGTACTGGTATCAAAACAGAGATACAGACCAATGGAACAGAACAGAGCCCTCAGAAATAACGCCACATATCTACAACCATCTGATCTTTGACAAACCTGACAAAAACAAGCAATGGGGAAAGGATTGCCTATTTAATAAATGGTGCTGGGAAAACTGGCTAGCCATATGTAGAAAGCTGAAACTGGATCACTTCCTTACACCTTATACAAAAATTAATTCAAGATAGATTAAAGACTTAAATGTTAGACCTAAAACCATAAAAACTCTAGAAGAAAACCTAGGCAATACCATTCAGGACATAGGCATGGGCAAGGACTTCATGTCTAAAACACCAAAAGCAATGGCAACAAAAGCCAAAATTGACAAATGGGATCTAATTAAACTAAAGAGCTTCTGCACAGCAAAAGAAACGACCATCAGAGTGAACAGGCTTCTACAGAATGGGAGAAAATTTCTGCAATCTACTCATCTGACAAAGGGCTAATATCCAGAATCTACAATGAACTCCAACAAATTTACAAGAAAAAACAACCCCATCAAAAAGTGGGCAAAGGACATGAACAGACACTTCTCAAAAGAAGACATTTATGCAGCCAAAAAAACACATGAAAAAATGCTCATCATCACTGGCCATTAGAGAAATGCAAATCAAAACCACAATGAGATACCATCTCACAACAGTTAGAATGGCAATCATTAAAAAGTCAGGAAACAACAGGTGCTAGAGAGGATGTGGAGAAATAGGAACACTTTTACACTGCTGGTGGGACTGTAAACTAGTTCAACCATTGTGGAAGTCAGTGTGGCGATTCCTCAGGGATCTAGAACTAGAAATACCATTTGACCCAGCCATCCCATTACTGGGTATATACCCAAAGGATTATAAATCATGCTACTATAAAGACACATGCACACTTATGTTTACTGCAGCACTATTCACAATAGCAAAGACTTGGAACCAACCGAAAGGTCCAACAATGATAGACTGGATTAAGAAAATGTGGCACATATACACCATGGAATACTATGCAGTCATAAAAAAGGATGAGTTCATGTCCTTTGTAGGGACGTGGATGAAGCTGGAAACCATTATTCTCAGCAAACTATCGCAAGGACAAAAAACCAAACACCGCATGTTCTCACTCATAGGTGGGAATTGAACAATGAGAACACATGGACACAGGAAGGGGAACATCACACACCGGGGACTGTTGGGGGGTGGGGGGAGGGGGGAGGGACAGCATTAGCAGCTATACCTAATGCTAAATGACAAGTTAATGGGTGCAGCACACCAACATGGCCCATGTATACATATGTAACAAACCTGCACGTTGTGCACATGTACCTTAAAACTTAAAGTATAATAATAATAAAATTAAAAAAAAAATAAGTCTCATGAGATCTGGTGGTTTATACAGGGGGGTTCCCCTGCACACATTCACTCTTGCCTGCCGCCATGTGAGACGTGACTGCTCCTCATTTGCCTTCTGCCACGATTGTGAGACCTCCCCAGCCATGTGAGTCAATTAAACCTCTTTCCCTTATAAACTACCCAGTCTCGGGTACGTCTTTGTTAGCATGAGAACGGACTAATAATACACTAGAACAAGCCACTCCAATAGCCTCCAAACAGGTCTTTATTAATCTATTCTTCTTCCCCTCAATTCTACTCTCCCACATCAAAGTGATTTTTTAAAGTAAAAATTATTTATCTTCATGGACTTTCTGATAAAAATTCCTCAACAGCACTCCCAAATCAATAAGGCTTATAAGATGTTTTGTAACCTCTAACTTCTCTCCTAAGTCCCCTGACACCACCAAACCCTTGCCATACCTTCAGTTACTCAGAACAGAAGTTAGTTTCCATGTCCCGGTCTTTGCATATGCTGATACGGCTACTTAAAATGCCCTTTCTCCCATTCTTTGAAACTTTCACACTAAATTAGGACTCTTGTTTTATACAGTCTCTGAAAACACTTTATCATAACTATAAAATAATAATAAATTATTGTGCCAGGGAATATTCTAAATGCTTTAAAATTTATTTATGTAATTATCAAGATAACGCTAGAAAGTAAGAACAATTAACTATCCCTATTTTGTAGCTAAGGACCAGAGAAGTTAGGTTAACTTCCTAAGGTTATATATCTGATAAATGCGGAGATGGGTTTTGAACCCAGACCAATTTGCTGGAGTCCCCCTTTTTAACCATGATAGTACACTGACTCTCAAATATACAACTAACAATTTAATGTGTGTTTTGTTCTTGAATTTGTAAAGGGAAAAGCAGTAAGGAGCAAATAAAAAGCCGATTGGAGGAGGAAGGTCCTTATATTGTGAACAATGGTAAGTAGGGTATACCACAATCGAATATTTATGTGTGTCAAAAAGATCACTTTAGCACAAGAACAAGAATGGACTGATTATGACTGATTATAGACATGTGAGACAAAAGCCAGTCTCTACAAGACTAATCACATGTATTTTACAGAAAGTTGCATTAATTTGAAAATGAAGTTATGCTTAAAAGAAATACTATTATACCAATTAAAAATTATTATCCACCAGGTGCAGTGGTTCACGCCTGTAATCCCACTCAACTCCCAGAGGTTGAGGTGGGTGGATCACCTGAGGTCAGGAATTCAAGAGCAGCCTGGCCAACATGGCGAAACCCCATCTCTACTAAAAATACAAAAATTAGTTGGGCGTGGTGGTACGCACCTGTAGTCCCAGCTACTTGGAGGCCGAGGCAGGAGAATCACTTGAACTTGGGAGGCGGAGGTTGCAGTGAGCCAAGATGACGCCACTGCAGTCCAGCCTGGGTGACAGAGTGAGACCACGTCTCAAAAATGAAAACAAAAAAAAATTATTATCCAAGGAGGGCTTCAGATAAGTAGAAATAACTACTAAAAGCTATATATACCTGGTTTCCATGTTCCCAAAGAACTAACATTTTTAGGTACTTAAGTATAGTGAACACAATTTAACCTTTCAAGGAATTAGGATAATTATAACCAAACTCTTAATTTCATTATAATAGCTCTAATGTAGACATTATAGCATTACATATGTAGGGCACATCTAGAACTTGTGTTAAAACAAAAACAATTCCCTAGTAGCAACTTTTTATTGTAGATTCTCTAATGTAGGGAGGAGTTTTACTGCTAACATGTTGGTACAGGTGTCACACGATAAAATCAATTGTCTCATTCACTGCTTCATACTGAGTAACAAATTTTCACTCCCAGCTACAGAGTTTGTAGTCTGCTTGCATTATACAAGATGAAGACTGCTAACTGCAAGATATACAGTACCTGAGAAGGGGGAAAAAGTGTTTCTCAGGCACTGTTTTCCTAATGGAGATCTGAGTAATTTAGAATTTGAGTTCTTATTTTCTCTCTGAATTCCATATTCAATATCAACAAACAATATACAAATATGCACAAGTTCTTGGCTATAAAATAGGCAGAAACTTAATATAAAATCACAGCCAACTGCCATTAACACTTATCTGCCTTTTATCAAGGTGTAGCCAATTAACATCTGAAACCAATGATGAGGAGTCCTAATACCTGAAGATAATCTAGCGTTTTTATAATTGCCCTTTAGAGGGAAAACATGATAGGTAAAAATCTCACAGACTGCCCAAATTCTATGGAAGTAGAATATTCGTATATCAAATATTATATTGTTACAACCTGGAAATATTTGTTAACAAAGATATTTTTGTTTCAGTAGTATTTTTTGTGATAGGATTTTAAACTGCTTATCCTGCTTCGCAACTACTATAAATAATTCTAATTTTATTTAATTCTTGAAAAACAATTTAAAAAGGGGGGGGGGCTTAAATAAAGGACAGAAAGGCACCTACACTGCACAAAAAAATTCTAGCTTCTTAAAGAACAAAGATATTAATACCTGGAAATCTTTACCAAAAAAAAAAAAACTCTTCATGTGAGAAACAAATTCAAGTCCTCCGAGTTCTAGAATACTATGGTTTCATATTTTTAATATGATATAGGTATAATGAAAAGTTCATGAATCTGCTTAGGATGGATCTAAGAAAAGTGAAGATATAGATAAATTTTAAAGTCTAGAATTACAAATCATCAAATCGATAGCATGGAAACAAATAAGAGCAACTCATTGTTTTAGCCAATGCAGAATAACCATAAATAAGCAAAAAAGGCCTCAATGAATACCAAAGATAGTTAACATGTAGATACACACACACACAAAAATCTATGACTGGTTGGAAATAGGCTTTAGTAGAAAGCTAGGGACCTATACAAACACTTCCACAATCACTATTTTGGAGAGTAGATAAATATCCTGGCAGAGTCCTTTCCAAGGTTTACAGAAATATTTAGCATATTTCTGTGTATTTTTGGGGGGCTCATCCAATAAAACAAGATGGCCTATATCTGAAAGATGGGGAGGGTATGTGTGTGTGTGTTGGTGGGGGAGGGGAGGGTGGAAAAACACATCACTCTTTCCTAATCCAAAAACTAAAATCTGGTGTCTGAAGCTGCTTTATTCAGAAAATATTCTGAAAAGCCATGTATGTTATCCCTTAATATGCACCCCCAAAGTCTACAAATTCTCTAGGGAGTGTTACCAAAATGCTACAAATACCTCCACAAGTTTGACTCTGATCTAGGGAGAATATGTTCTGTATGTTTCAACATGAATAAACAGATTTTGTGGTTTTCTAGAATCTTAAAATGTGCTGCACCAATATGCTTTATATAGATTCACATTTGAACAATTAATATATAAGCTTTAAAAGCTAAGTGCATCATCCTAAAACCAAAATTCTAATTATTCAAAAAGTGCTAATCCATAGGAAAAAAGTACACATATACTAAAGAACTAAATATAATTAGTACCTCTTATGAGCAGTAAGAAGTTGGAGTTGAGAACTCACATAATAGAGCCTAAAATTAAAGTAGTACTTTATCTTTAAATATTAGGATGTAAAACTATAAAATACAAATGGAAGGACATATAACAGTAGAAAATCTCTACATTTAGAATAAAAACAAATCCTCTATGCATACAGAAGGAAAATCTTCTAATGAGAATATTTTAAATCCTTAAAAGACGGTAGGCAAAGATGGGTCTGATAAAGAGGGAGGAAGGAAGGGAATATGAATACATATTGAGAAAAAAACGGGATGTACTTTGCTGAGGGAGATGTGTTTATATAGAGCGTCCAGTTATCTAAAAAACTCAAGAAAAAAAGGGAGACAAACTGCTGGGAAGTCTGTATTTTGATGACTTGTTTTGAGACCTGAAATACCAAATACACTAGAACCCCAATCTCTTTTAACCCTCACATACTTTCTCTGAAGAAACTTAGCAACCATGGGCCATCTTAAGAGTCTGTTTTTCTTGGGTTTAATGTGAATGTCTTGTATGTGCAAAAATCTATAAATCAATGAACATGAATTATATGGGATAGATGTAGGAGAACGAAAGAAACACGTTTTGAAAGCTTTCTGAGAAGAAGCTCAAAAGTAAGGTAGTGAAGACCCAGAGCTACATCCCTACAAAATTAAATCTGTGATGTTTAGATCATGATTTCCAGTGCAAGGCAGACAAGGAGAAAATGCCAGGAGTGTTGGCATCTCTCTCTCTCTCTCACACACACACACACGACACAGGATCTGATGAGTTTATTCATTCGTTCAACAAACATTTGCTGAATTACGTACCAGATATCTATACTTATTTTTGTTAACTTCAAACCTAGAGATTGGTAGAAATGTTCCAGTCCTCCTGTCAAGACTTCAAGGAAAAAGATGTTTGAAATTTCTATTTCTGTAAAGATTAAAACATAGCTACCTGCCTAATACCTCAGGAAAAAATAGCACATCTAAAGCTAGTGGAAGAAAACTAAAACTTGCCTCCTCCTGAGACCAAGTTACATATGGCAAAATTATAGTCTATGGACTTAGGCCTTCCCCAACTTTTTTTTTAGCTTCTTTTTTGAACATGGGTTTTCTGGACCTGCTATATACACTGTGGAGAATATAAAGTTTAAAAAAATGTAAGAACCTTCCTTTGCATTATAATATTAATAGTTTATTAAGGTTTTTTTCTTATTTCACATCTAACAAGAATTAAAATTATTTCTTCACTATTTTTTAAATAATTTATGAGTTTTATGAGAAAAATAATTGATAACAAACATTATATTTCTAAACTAACAAAATGACTCATTGATAAAATGGCCCAACATCCACCCTCAAAATACTGATGACAGTACCATTTTTCCCCCGGCTTTCCCCACCACATACTTACCTGTGCAACTTCTTTCAACATTTGCTACTCTGGGGATTGGAAAGCTCAGAGCTGGAGGCTGAAGTGAAGAAGGAAAGGTTGGAGGGTGAGCCATGGCACCAGCCCCACCCTAGGAGCTCCCCTGAGATATTACAGCAGGGTTGACGCCATAGCTCTGAAGTTCAACTCCAGCAAACAGTAAGAAAGTCCAACCAGAACATGATAAACGATGGGATTCTTCCGCTCTTTGAAAAATAAGGAAATCATGCTATAAAGATCTGAATGTCCAGTTTCAACATTATGACTCCCTGTTCACCTCTTCATTACTGGCCAAACCCAGATTCATCTTTCAGACTAATTCAAAGTACTAAGTTTAAAAAAAAAAAAAAAAAAAAAAAAAAGCAGTGCTCACCACAAACTTGCACACTTTTCCAGAAAATGCAAAGACAGAGCTTACCTGGCCATTATGAAAACATGTAAGACAGTGTGTTCAAATACTTTGTGCCTATCCACTCCTTGTACACTCTCTTGCTCTCTTGAGTACTCAACATTAAATCTAAGGCTCTCATACACATTAACACCATCAACAAGCAGAATTAAAGTTGTACTATATGGATGTACTTAAAATTCGTAAAGGTGGACCAGTGAACTTTTAAAACCTACACATAACTCTGATATAAGTACAATCCTTGGGAAAAAGTGAATTTCTTAACTGCTCCATGCTGATAAAAACAAATAAGGACCCCTCCATCAAAAAAAACCTGGCACTTTAACCAAACAAGATAATAAAGAGAAAAATTTTAAGATTTTAAAACAAAACAATCTGAATATAGGATTTAAATAAGATATGAAATCCAGGCCAGACACAGTGGCTCATGCCTGTAATCCCAGCACTTTGGGAGGCTGAGGCGGGCAGATCACCTGAGGTCGGGAGTTTGAGACCAGCCTGACCAACATGGAGAAACCCTTCTCTATTAAAAATACAAAATTAGCCGGGCATGGTGGCACATGCCTGTAACCCCAGCTACTCGGGAGGCGGAGGCAGGAGAATCTCTTGAACCCAGGAGGTAGAGGGTGCATTGAGTTTAGATCGTGCCACTGCACTCCAGCCTGGGTGATAAGAGCAAAACTCTATCTCAAAAAAAAAAAAAAAAGATATGAAATCAATTCACTTTTACAAAAATGTTGAATCCTTGAAAATATAAAAAGTGAGTTATTTTCAAAGAAAAATAAACTCTATTACAAATACTAAAACTAATAAAAATAGAAGCTTATTTAAGACATCTGTTCAATAGCATAAATAGATATTATTGAAGGTGACAAATTATTTTAAAACCTTTACATTTTAAAAATATACAGAGGTATCAGAATCCTAATTTATGTTACAGGAAGTAATTAAAAATGAAAAGTATTCCTTTAGCAAGGGAAGACATGATCTTTAAAATGTTTCTAAACATCTCACCATGTACACTAATTCAATAATCACTGAGTTAGCATCTACTACACACAGTGCTAGATGTTAGGTATTACATTTTATACTTATACACTTTATCCCCTTCAGGCTCAGAATAAAAGAACATCAGAAATCAAACGGAATAGAGGTGAAACACATTTACAATGGACTCCTGCACCATTACCAAGGCCTCCAAGGCCTTCATGACCTTACTCTTTGTTATCTCTAATCTCCCCTGTTAGCATTCTCCCCTTCTCTTCATGTGCTCCTGCCATACTGGCCTCCTTGCTATTCCTCAAACACATCGGACATACTCCTGTCTCCAAGCCCTTGCCTTTGTTATCCTCCAGGAATGCTCTTCCTCTAGACATCCAGATGGCTTCCTACTTCACCTACTTCAGGTGTGAAGTCATCTCAGTAAGGAATTCCTTGTGTATTTAAAATTACAACACTTTGTCCCCCACCCCTTACATTTAGTTTTACATTTCCTTAGTCTTCTCCAATCCGAGACTTATCCTAGTCTTTCTTCTTTCATAATATTGATGTTATATCATACACACTGCAGAATGTCCCACAGTTGGGGTTTGTCAGATGTTTTCTCATTAGACTGAAGTTATGCATTCTGAAAGCCACATCACCACAGAGCTGATGTAGTCTTCTCAAGTGCATCATATGTGATGCATATATTCCAATATATGAGTGCATATGATGTTAATATGTCTTATTACAGGTGAAGTGGTGCATCTGGAAGTTTTCTCCACTGTAAACTACTAGTTTTCTCTTTTTAAATAAGAAATGTTTTGGAGTACTGTGAGAACATGCAAATACCTGTCTGCCCTTACATTTCTGTCCACTCCTTATAGCATTCATCCGTGAATATTGCTCGCAGTATCTATTACCGTGGTGTTGTTTTGTTTTGTTTTTTTGAGACGGAGTCTCACTCTGTCGCCCAGACTGGAGTGCAGTGGCACGATCTCGGCTCACTGCAAACTCCGCCTCCCTGGTTCACGCCATTCTCCTGCCTCAGCCTCCCAAGTAGCTGGGACTACAGGTGCCCGCCACCACGCCTGGCTAATTTTTTGTATTTTTAGTAGAGATGGGGTTTCACCGTGTTAGCCAGGCTGGTCTCGATCTCCTGACCTGGTGATCTGCCCGCCTCAGCCTCCCAAAGTGCTGGGATTAGAGGCGTGAGCCACCACGCCTGGCCTACCATGGTGTTTTAATGGTAATTTTCTACTTTCCTTCTCTATTTAATGGAAATGCTTTAACAAAGCAAACCAAATCTTTTAAAGGTTTCACTGTTAACTATGAACACGGTGTCAAAGACTTTACATAAATGGACCCAAGTGATTCAGGTAGAATGTGAAGACTAGTGGCTCAAACTAAAGGCTCTTCACTCTACCAAGCACATTTGTTTTAGTTTTATCACAGTGCCTTTAGAAAAGTGCCTTGGTAGAAAAGAATAGGTGTAAAATTTCATGTGCCGGTAGCATTTTTGGCCCTAATAAGGGTCTTTCCTTTTTCCTTGAAAACATCTTATATTTTCATTAGCACATTTATTATAATGTCTTTAATTTACTGATCCAGATAAAACAATACAGAGATAATATACTATTTTATGCTATACAACACAGATTTTTTTAAAGTAAGAAATGCTTATTGGTAAAATTTTTACCTGACAGCTGAGAAAATGAATGACCACTGTATCTATGGGCCTACTGGATTCTAGGGAATCTTAAGGGAATCAGGAAATTCAGAGGAAACAGTCCAATTTTTAAGTTAAATTGAATCAGGACTATGACAATTCTACATAAGAACTGGAATTCATTTACTGACCTGTACTGTTTTATTTTTCATTCTAAATGACCTTAAATGCTGAGAAATGGTCTGAAATTTGTGTATATTGCACACTGTATAGTATTTTATACAAGAGAAAGCATCCAAGCCTTATCTGAATATTGACACAAAAGCTTATTCTCTTTATCAGGGATGGTTTTCATTCATCTTCTCAACCAAAATATAGTTTTTAAAAATGAAATAAGGGTGCAGTGGCTCACACCTGTAATCCCAGCATCTTGAGAGGCTGAGGTGGGAGGATCACTTGACAAGCCTGGGCAACATAGTGAGACCCTGTCTCTATAAAAAAAATTTTAATAAGAAAAAATAATTTTAAAAAATGAAACATTAAGACTTTCACTTCCAACCGAGAGAGTAGTGTGGTAGTATTAGTTGTAGCAGCAGCCCACCTAAAACAACTTGAAAATGGACAAAATATATTAAACAATTGATTTCAGACACAGGATATCAGGCCGTGCAGGACAATAATCCTTGAGACCAGAGAAAGAATCATTGAGGGCTCAACAACTACCCTTGCTTATAAGACTGAAAGAATTTTCAGTGTGCAGTGAGGGAGAGGGATTCCAGATTGGTGGAGCCCAGCAATCTTTGTGAATTGAGGAAGTGGAGAAGAGGGCAATTAAAGGCAGCCAGAATAGGCTGGGATACTAAACAAGAATGACTGGCACAGAGAAAGATCTCTGAAAATATGCAGAGGGTTCCTCTGAGATTTCAGCTAAGTACTGATTAGCACATGCATGGAAGGAAACTACCAGAAGCTAAAAAAAACAAAAAAAAAAGGCCACCTGAAAGAAACAGAGAAAACAATCCCCAGGGCCCAGACAGGGCTGGGAATCATTTATTTTCCTATGAGCCAGAGTAGAAAAACATAATTTACATAATTCAGAAAAGAATTGCTTAAGTAGTTGGAAGAAAATTAACCCTAAAGATTACTCTGGTTCTGTTAAACAAGACCTAAAAAAAAGAAAAAAAAGAAAAGGATGTCTCAAAGATCAAATGGCTTCTATTATAAGTAACTTAACTGCAACCACAAGAAATCTAAAGAATATTAACAGAAATACAAACATTATATAGCACTCAACAAGATAAAGTTTCCAAAGACTGGCATCCAAGCAAAAATCACCAGCCATGCAAAGAAGCCCTAAAAGAGAACAGATAATGAGGAGGAAAAAAAAACCAACACTCAATAGAAACAGACATAGTTTCTATTAGTAAACATGAGTAACAGAATTAGTAGACAATGATATGCAAGGAGTTATAATTACATTTTGTATGTAAAAGAAGGCAGAATAATTGGCATGCTGAAGAAAAGATTAGCAAACTTAAAAAAACAGTAATAAAAACTATCCTAACTAAAGCATGGTGAGAAAAAAAGAAAGAAAAAAATGAACAAAGCATCAGTAAGCTATGGGACAACTCCAGGCAATTAGGTATATGCGTAATTGGAGTCCTCAAAGGACAGTGAAGACAGAGAATATATTCAAATAAATAATGGATGAAAAAAATTCCTAAATTTGTATAAACATACAAATTCAAGAAGCTCAACAAATCCCACGTGTAAGACTCATAAAAAAAATTATACCGACATAGACCTTAATCAAGCTGTGTAAAATAAGTGACAAATTTAAAAATCTTAATATTAGCCAGAGAGAAAAAGGTATATTATACACACAAGACTAAACATAAGAATGACAGCAGACTTTTCATAGGAAATAAGAAGACAGCGAATCATCATTTAAAAAATTCTAAAAGCAAAAAACCCGTCAATTTTGAACTTCAGACTCAGTGAAAGTATATTTACAAATAAAGGTGAAATAAAGACTTTTCAAACAAAACCTAAAATAATTCATCACCACTAGAAGTGCCTTAGAAAAAAAATTTTTTAATCCTTTAGGTAGAAGAAAAATATTATGAAGAAAGAAGGGAAGAAAGAAAAAAGGAAGAGAAGTGAGCAAGAAAATAAAGCAGGGCAAGGGAGGGAATAAAAAAAAAGCGAAAGGAGAGAAGAAAGGGATAAGAAGTAAAAACAGGAAAAGATGGGAAGAAAAAGAGAAAAAGAGTCAACAAACCTATTCCATTATGAATGATAATAAAACGCAGAAATAACATTACCACCATCCCTAAAATTACCATGAACAATGAGAAAATGTAACAGAAGTCTAAGCAGAAAATGTTTCCCTTAGGAAGTGAGATTTCAGCTGAGATCTAAAGAATAATTAAAATAGATGTTGTTTGGTAGTACAACTAAGAACCCAGAATGCCCCACTAAATAACAACTAAAATCACTCCATAAAATACTAACTTTATCCAATCAACAATACTTACTACATGCCAGACATTATTCTCAGGTGAGGATACAGCAATGAACAAAATAAACACTAACAGAGGTTACATTTTTAAGTGTACAGCTGAACCTGCAAGGGAGGAAGGGAAATTCAACACCCTTAAATGAGAGTAAAAGCTAGAATTCCAGAGAAGCCACAAGCTTATATCCCTAAAGGAGAAGCTATTTAAAAAAGCTTTTTATAAATCATGTACCTTAAAATGTTACACCCTGGCTGAGAGCGGTGGCTCATGCCTGTAATCCCAGCACTGTAATCCCAGGCCGAGGTAGGTGGATCACCTGAGGTCAGGAGTTGGAGACCAGCCTGGCCAATGTGGTGAAACCTCATCCATACTAAAAATACAAAAAAAATTAGCTGAACATGGTGGCAGGTGCCTGTAATCCCAGCTACTTGGGAGGCTGAGGCAGGAGAATTGCTTGAACCAGGCAGGCAGAGGTTGCAGTGAGCCAAGATCGTACCATTGCACTCCAGCCTAGGCAACAAGAGCGAAACTCCGTTTCAAAAAAAAAAAAAAAAAAAAAAAAGAGCTACACCATAATTGTAATAACCCCTTAGTAAAGAGGACAGCAAAAAATCTTGATGTTCCTGTTATTTATGGTAAGCAAAAAGTGGTGAAGGAATGCTCTGAAAATTTATAGCCACAAAAAAGCATAAATTCACATTGCCTATGTGGACTGCAACCTCAAGCTAATATTTTATTTGGAATTGGTTCTGGATTGGTAGTGCCTTAGGGTCTTAGCAAAAACAAGTGAAAATCCCCTTGGGAGAAATGTCCCCTTCTACCCAGTGCTCAAAGAATTCCCAGAGTTCTAAGAAACATGAAATGATAGCTTAATATACACACAAGGAAACAAGGCACAATGAGAACCAGCAGAAACAAAAACATTAGCATAATATGTGACAACTTCCAATTGTTGGATTTATCACAGGCTAAACACAAAAATTTATAAAATAATTAAAGAAATAAGATATATTGGAATCTAGATCTAAACAAAGGGATAAATGATTATATGGATACATAAGATGTACATAATAAGATTAACACTTGATCTAATGGAGAGAAACAAAGCAATACACCTGCCAATTTGGTTAATATACATTTTGTTCAAACACATAAACAAATAATTGTATCATACAGACCACATTCTTGAACCAAAATGGAATTATATGAGAAATCAGCAACAAAAAGATAACTAGACAAACCTGATAATTACCTGGAAAATTAAAAACGTAAGATTAAAGAACAGTATAACAAACCCTAAGAAGTGAAAGGAAAACATTAAAGAACACTGATGAATAGAAAACAAAATTAAATTTTAGAAATAAATAAAGGCTAAAATTTGACCCCTAGTAAAACTGACGAATCACTAGTAAGTCTGACCAAATAAGGGGAAAACGCACATAGTAAACAACCTTAAGAAGAAAAAGATGCTACAGAGGAAAAAAATATATAAGGTAGCATTATGAACAATTTCTTTACCCTGATAAAGTATATCTATAAAAAAAATCCTGTATCAAATATTATTTAATGATGACAACTTCAAAACTGGTGACAATTTCAAAACTGTCATTTCCAAAGGATGTGTTTACTTATATGAACCCCCCAAAAAGCCTACAGATAAATTATAAAAATTAAAAAGTTTAGCAACATTGAGATACAAAAATCAATTTTAAAAGTCAACTATATTTCAATAACACCTATAACTAAAAATTTTTTTTTAATTTACAACCAAGAAAAGCAACAAAAGTAGTCATAAATTGGACTAAAGATTTCTAAGTCCCTTATGAAAAAAATATAAAACTTTGAGAGAAAACATGAAAGAATACATAAACTTATCGATTCTTCCACAAAGAAAACTAAAGTCAATGCAATTCCACTTACAAACTCAATACTTCTTTTTGTGTTGGAGGGGAGCATTCTCATGAATATTCTAAATTTGTCACAGAGCAAAAGGCCAAGTCAAGACTCTTATGAAGAAAAAGGTTGACAGACAGACATGAAGATTTAACACAAAGCTTTAGTATTTAAGAAAACATGATATTGGTATAGGCACAGACAAACACATCAAGGTAACAGAGACATAAGAAATCCATGCATATAAAGAGAAACTTGATTTACAATAGAGCTAGCACTACTGAATAGTTAAGGAGGTTAGAATAAATTGGTACACAATGCTAATATGATAATTTAGGTGCAGGGGAAAGGAAACTGTACTTCTAACACCATGTACAAAAATCAATTTCAGGTAGATTAAATATGGAAGACAAAACAAAAAATCTTTTTTAAAAGACTATGAAGAATATCTCAATATATCTCAAACACAACCTCAATAGATGGAAAAAAATTTTAATTCTGAAATTATCAAATGTCAGATGAATATGAGGACTACTGATGGGGCTCAAAATTGGTATAAACACTCCCAAATACATTCCTAGAAGACCTCTTAGGAATGTAATCTTCCTGAAGTTTTAGAATACTGCTTTGTTCAGATAAACTTCTCTAACGTCATAAAGTTCTCTCTTCTGTTATTTTCACATAGTGTTTGAAAATATGATCGCTTATTTACTGAGATTTCCTGGTTCTGCTCCCCTCTCCCATTTTTATCTGGACCTTCTCTTTCCAATGTCACTGTTGTCCCTTTCCTGCTCAATTTTAATTCCTCTCCTCAGTGGAATCCTAGAAGGACACACTGGTGGGTCACTCTCAAGAGGTCAGAGAGCTAAGCTGCTCCAATCACTTTAGCCTTACCATGGGTTCCTCACTCACCTTATGAGGTTGACAAAATCTCTCCCAATTTCAAACTGGCTAATTGTACTTACCAGTGAATACCTGTTGACTACATTGGGTGCCTCCACTCTCAGGTCCATCAGACATCCCAATGGGTCTCATTTTATGCATAAAAACTGAAAACTGTAGGTCTTTTTCTTAGTTCTCATCTGCTTATATTGGGGTTCATGGGGACACTTTGTCAAGAAGTTCTGTTATGTTTCACGAGTTTTAGTTTTGCTGTCTAGCTGGTTCTATTTTTATGTGGAAATTCAGAAAGATTTAAAAAAAAAAACAAAAAACTAACCTGCCACCATCAGTGCTATCATCCTAGACTCCACGCAAGACCTAAGATAACCTCTTAAAAGATAACTTTGCGGCCAGGTGCGGTGGCTCACGCCTGTAATCCAAGCACTTTGGGAGGCCAAGGCAGGCGGATCATGAAGTCAGGAGATCGAGACCATCCTGGCTAACACGGTGAAACCCCGTCTTTACTAAAAAAAAAAAAATACAAAAAATTAGCCAGGCGTCGTGGTGGGCACCTTAGTCCCAGCTACTCAGGAGGCTGAGGCAGGAGAATGGCATAAACCTGGGAGGCAGAGCTTGCGGTGAGCCGAGATCAGGCCACTGCACTCCAGCCTGGGCAACAGAGCAAGAGTTCGTCTAAAAAAAAAAAACAAAAACAAAAACAAAATCAAAACATAACTTTGCTTGCTTCTGTATTTTCTCTGATTCACAGAAATATCCGCATTAATGTCTTAACTTTTGATTTAATGAGTACACATTTCACATTCATGATTAAGGCAAACCACTTAAATGTAAACTATTTTTCTGAAAGAGAACACTTCATATTTCATATATAAAGTCTACGTCATACGTTGCCAAAAGGAACACCAGAGCGAACACACAGGGGTGCTACTAGATATTTTATATCTTCTTAGGAAATACAGCAATATCTATCAGATAATCATATGAATATAAGTGATTTGGACCTAATTACTTATTTAGCAGAGTTTCTTTTGGCCCAAGGGCACTATGAAAAAATTACCAATTCACTAAGGGTGCTATAAACCAGGTGTCTTGGTGAAACTTATTTTTTGGAAAACAAATGTCACCTTATTTGATGATTTCAGATGATAATAAAAAAAGTATCAGAACGTATAATGCATTCAAAGAAAGGTTAACACTTAGCATCACACGGCAATGAGCCAACCAATGAGGAACTTGGGAATTCATTTAACTTGATTTGACATTACTGGTTGGCCTGAGAAAGAGGACAAAGAGAAGCCATGAATGCCAAAAAAAAAAAAAAAAAAAGGTCAAATTTTATTTTTAAAAATTTAGATTAGGTCGGCACAGTGGCTCATGCCTGTAATTCCAACACTTTGGGGAGGCCAAGGCAGGGAGATCACCTGAGGTCAGGAGTTTGAGACTAGCGTGGCCAACATGGTAAAATCCTGTATCTACCGAAAAATACAAAAATTAGTCGGATGTGGTGGTGCGTGTAGGTAGTTCTAACTACTTGGGAGGCTGAGGCACGAAAATTGCTTGAACCCAGGTGGCAGAGGTTGCAGTGAGCGGAGATGGTGCCACTGCACTCCAGCCTGGGTGACAGAGTGAGACCCTGTCTCAAAAAGAAAAAAAAAAAAGCTGGGCATAGTGGATCACACCTATAATCCCAGCACATTGGGAGGTCGAGGCAGATGGATCACCTCAGGTCAGGAGTTCGAGACCAGCCTGACCAACATGGAGAAACTCTGTCTCTACCAAAAAACAAATACACAATTAGCTGGGCATGGTGGCACATGCCTGTAATCCCAGCTACTCAGGAGGCTGAGGCAGGAGAATCGCTTCAACCCAGGAGACAGAGGTTGTGGTGAGCACTCCAGCGATCGCGCCACTGCACTCCAGCCTGGGCAACAAGAGCGAAACTCCATCTCAAAAAAAAAAAAAAAAAAAAAAATTTACATCATGAAGTCAAAGTGACTTCCGTTGCTGATCATGTGATCATGACATGAACAGAGCTTTCACAATCAAAAATGTAATTATAAGAGCAACTTCATCTTAAGCAGCTGTATAAATGCAAGTAAAGGGCACATAAAAAGTCATTCTACCCCTTTACTTTATCTCTGGCTAGTGATAACATGTCACAGCCATCTGGTTGCAAGGCTTTCAAGAGCAAAGAAGAGGAAACTGAACCAATTCATTGGATTCAGGCTTTTTTCCTTTTTTTTTTTTTTTTTTTTAAACTCATTCTTTCATTAGGTCGCTCTTATTCATCTTCACCTAACACCAAGCAGCAATAATAACTACAAACTCAATTTTTCTTCTCTGGGCACCAGATCTGACAACTTTTCAATTGTTAAGTATTAATTTAATAAAATTCTATCTATCTATCTATCTATCTATCTATCTATCTATCTATCAATCGACTGACTGAGGGTCTTGCTCTGTCACACAGGCTGGAGTGCAGTGGTGTGATGATAGCTCACTGCAGCCTCAAACTCTGGGGCTCAAGCTAATCTCCCGCCTCAGCCTCTCCAGTAGCTAGGACTACAGGTGCACAGCACTACACTCAGCTATGATTTTATTTTATTAAGTGTTCTTTATATTCATTATATATCTTTAACATACTATATATCATAGATTCTAAGATGCTTTGGTGCTGGTACTGTTTGTCACAACTATGACTTGAAGTCACCATCAGCTGTAAGATGCATCCTGACTTCAGAGAGAGAAACATGTTCAATAATGTGCCACTTAACAATAAAAGAAAGGAAATACACTTAACTGTTTATTTACAATTACAATTTTATTGCAGTATAAAAGAAAAAGTATTATCTGAATACAGTACATACTAAATGGAAATATACTTAGTGATTCATTTGTTTCTGTTTATATTAAGTAGTTTGTATTTTAAATACTCTGTATTATGCAGAAATCCTTGGTGAATTATCAAGTAGGTGTTGAGTACTTTAGCTATATCTAGGAAATTGTTTAGGGTCTTAAGTGGGCTGGAAATTATGATTTTTCCTACTCAAAATAATAAAATATGGGGCACCACTTTCCAAAAAATTGCCACACAATACATAAAAAAGATGTACCTCAATATACTGAAAAACATATATGTAATAAGTTATAAAAATATAAAGAATGAAACACAAAATTAAAACTATTGATTACTTCTGGGGAAGAGGGCAGAGGAAAGAATGGGAAACGGAAATAGCTCCATTAAGTACAATGCAGAAAAATACACATTTGTTAGAGACAAAGACAATGAATCACATCTACACTATATAGTCACTAGTAAAGATCTGAAGAGGTACACACCAAACTGTTAAGAGTAAAGTTGTCAAGGCAAACTTTCACACTGTATTTTATATTCCGTATTTTTCTTCAACGTTTTGGTAATAGGCATCTGTGATTTTTAAAGTTAATTAAAAGGAAGTAAGATATTTAATGTTGGGGAAGAAAATGGCAATACAATCATTTTTACAGTTCTCTGACATACTATATTCCACAAAAATACAATGTTTTAGATTATGAATCATTCTTCAGAAACGTACGGAATAGGATGCATTAGACCCAGTTTGTAGATAATGCATTGAATTAGCTAGCATATGATGTGACCAATGACCTCATACTGAAAAGTTCCATTCAAAGTAACATCTAAATATCTTGCAAATACCTCTACCTTCCCATACCACTTACACTGGTATGTTACCCAGTATACTTTCCATTTCTTCCTTTCCCTTCTTTCACTGTTTTATTTAATTTTATTGGAACAACATGCATTGAACACCTATCTACATACCAAGCACCAAGCTAGGTATTGGCAGTACCAAAATAAACAGATACGGTCCCAGTTTTCAAGAAGCTTATTAGATACAGCAGTATTATCTAATACGATTTTCTGCAATGATAGAAATGTTCTGTATCTACACTGTTCAATACAGTAGCCATTAGCAGCATGTAGCCACTGAGCATTTGAAATGTGGTTAATGTGACCAATGAACTTTAAAATTTATTTAATTTAAATGAGTTTAAATTTATTTAATTTAAATGAGTTTAAATTTAAATAGCTACTTGTGACTAGTTCCTACGGCATTGGACTGCACAAGTCTATAGGAAGACAAGGACAAATAAACACAACTACAATGTATTATGGTAAACACTAAACTAGAAGTATGTAAAGGCTATGAAAGAAAGGGAAAGGAACACTGAATCTACCATAGGGTGACGTCTGGAAAAACTGATACTTAATTCTTGAATCATGTGAACAAAGGTGAGGCATTACATGAAAATAACCAATATAAGTAAACCCCTGTGGGTGTGAAACTGCATGGCAGGGAGATTAAAAGCAGTGTTGTATTATTAAATGGGAAAATCTACTACAAAAAGTAACAGGAGATATATTGGAAAGGTAAATGGATGTAAGGAGGCCAGAATTTGGAAAGTCTAAAGGTAATGTTTAGAAGCTTGAATATGTTATGTAACAAAGGGAAAGCCGGATCGGGCACCGGTGGCTCACGCCTGTAATCCCAGCACTTTCAGAGGCCAAGGCGGGCAGATCACGAGGTCAGGAGTTCGAGGCCAGCCTGACCAACATGGTGAAACTCCATCTCTACTAAAAATACAAAAATTAGCTGGGTGTGGTGGCGCACGCCTGTAATCCCAGCTACTCAGGAGACTGAGGCAGGAGAATCGCTTGAACCCAGGAGGCGGAGGTTGCAGTGAGCGCACCACTGCACTCCAGCCTGGGTGACAGAGCAAGAGTCCGTCTCAAAAAAAAAGAAAAAAAAAAAAAAAGGGAAAGCCATTGATTAGTTAAATTGGTAATTAAGATGGTTTACATTTGTGCATGTGCATGCTCATAGCTAGGGTAAGTTAGTCTAAATTAGAGGAAGATAAGAAAATGGTTACAAAAACTGAAGGTGCATTTCCTTGGAAAAAGCTTGACAATCCAAAAATGAACCATGAGCCATATAATAAATTGTTTTATCTGAACTAATATGCCAGTCTATCTCTGCAAATAAACTTCAGCTACTGTATTCAAACTCCAAATACCTAACTGGGCTTAAACTTATAGTAAGAAAGAAAACACACAAAGTAGATACCACCATAAAAATCAATACTTCAAACCAAGCCCATTTAAAAGTCACTATCTTTAGTATAGAGCCAAGGGAATGCACCTTCCTAAACTTAATTCCTAAGGCTTTAATCAGGTCTGTAAGGAAATGAGACCTGGATAAATTTTACAAAAATTCTTGTTAAACTCTTCAATATTAGCCTATTATCAGAATGTTCAAATAAATATAAAATATTAAGTGTCCCTCAAAAGCAAAAGCCCTCAAAGATAAATGAAAATGGTTATAAACATAGACACAAAGAAATTCTACTTTATCTATGAAAAATACATAAATTTCCTCCAAAGTAGAATTTTTAAAAATCCAAAATCATTTTCATCAATTCGGAAGATTTAAGTTCTCTCTTCTAGCTATTTTGAAATATACAATACCTTCTTGTTAATTATAGTCACCCTACTCTGCTATGGAACATTAGAATTTATCCCTCTATGTCCCTTTTCTCTTTTGTTTTTACTTAGTGATGCTAAATGCATATTGAAGTATACCTTGGAAACAGCTGTTTAAAGCTGGATTGTAAAATTATTTTATTTTTGAACCCTACTCTGAAAAGCACATGTATAGAAACAAAATTTCCTGTTTGGTATTATGATGAATATATTAAGAATATAAAAATTCTTAGACTACCAGTACAAATATAAATGTTACTTTAGTGATGAACATTCCTTTGAATTTCCCATACATTCTTATATAGACATTCTATACATGTAACAAAATACCACATGTACCCCATAAATACGTACAATTATGTATCAATAAACGAAGAGAGAAAAGGGAAAACATTTTGAGGCAGCAAACCCATAACCAAAAATGCATTTTCCAGGTATGCTCAAAAACCTGGATTATTTGTAAATAATATGACTGAAACAATGGAGTACTTTTAGTGTAGAAAGAGCAAGAATAAGCAAATCTCTTCATGTATAAAACATAATTCTGTTTTCTTTCTTAAGTATAAATTTTGGAATTCTATATTAATGTGGTTCCATGAGACAAATTAACTATAGTGTGTAATCACATAAAAATTCTACATTCACACTTTACAAATTGGATTATGAGCACTGAAAAGCCATATAATTCAGAATCACAAAATTCTTAAAATAATTTGGCAGAACCTACCAAAAGATGCAGAAGTCCAAGAAGTGTGACCAATTAAAATCTTATGAGTCAAGGTAATTGGAAGTGGGTGGGAAGCAGGAGCTACACCTGAGTACAGATCATTAGCAAAGGCTATGTTGGTCAAGTCTATGAGGACAACTCAGAAGAAAGGTTACAGAGAAAACTGATTCAGCATACCCTCAGTTTTCTCTGGCTTATTAAAATCATAAAGATCTGGCAAGAAACTTTAGATACCAAGTTAGAAGAAATTCTAGAAAGGTTAAATATGACATTATTTTTAATTAGGAACAGTGCCTAAACCAGAACCCAGATCTTATAATCAAAGCCTCTTTGTTATACCATACACCAAAAAGACTAATTTACAATTTGCTCCACTGCTAACTTTTCCAATTTGAGGGAAGAAAAGATTAACTGGGCTAAAATAAATGGTTAGCAGATAAACAGTTAGTTAACCAAAGCTGCTGCTATCATACTAGCTGCCTTCACAACCTAGAGGGAATGAACTGATGAGTGAAAGGA
Organism: Homo sapiens; assembly: GCF_000001405.40. Classification (NCBI taxonomy): domain Eukaryota; kingdom Metazoa; phylum Chordata; class Mammalia; order Primates; family Hominidae; genus Homo; species Homo sapiens. The sequence goes on along the minus strand of NC_000012.12, from coordinate 70,279,114 downwards.
AGTGTGGGAGGTGGGGAGGTTGGACACATATCTGTGCAGGAAGCCTAAAAGTTTATTTGTACTCAAACTTTAAAGTATTCTGTATTCTGGATAACTAAATAAATGTGATAACAGATCACTATCAAATGAATAAAGGATATTTCCTTTAAAAAACTAAATTCAAATATGTTGGTTTTCTTTAAATCACTGTTTAATAGCACAATCTTTAAAATTCACCTTCTTTTCAAAGCTCAGAAATAGCAATGTTACATTTCCACTATTCTTCCAGCCTTCCTACACACTGAATAAGGAATGAATATTATTAACCACCTTATTAAATGAGAAAACAAGAATCTAGCATTTAAGGACAGCAAACTAATAACAAATTCAATAGAATTTGGGTCTCTAAGCACCCTGGGTTTCTCATTTCTATTTCTTCTATACTCTACTCAATTTTGTCTACATTTCTGTGATATATACTTTGTTATCCAAAATATAGCACAAGACTTCGGGTTTAGTCTTCCAGGAATAATATACGTAAAAGCAATCAACACTTTTGTTTTTACCATTTTGAATTCAGTCATGAAGTCATAACTTGTATATCAAATAATCTAAGTTTTGACAAATATCTCAGAAAACCTGATTTGACACTAAAAAATATACATTATGAATATGCTTTATTTTGAAAAGTGTTCCCAACTATTTCAACTATCAAATCCAGTACTTAATTTAAAATTATAAACCCAAATTTTCAAATTGAGGTGTAACCAATTTGCTGGTTCCAATTACATATAACACATTTGAACAGTTTCAATGTAGCTATAAGACCAATAGAGAAAAAAGAAGAAAGACTGGTCTTACCTGGTAGTTTCTTTTCTCAGATAATGTATGTCCATCAGTCCTCACCATAGAGTCGTGTCCTTTCCTCACAGTACCGGAGGCAATCAAATAGAACTGTCACTCAAGGGTCGTGTCACAGGAAGGACCGCCCACCACGTCTCCCTCTAGAGTGGAATTATCCAAAAGCCATCAAAATTACTAACATGTAAATATATCAACAGCAGCAAAAATATTCAATATGATACACAGAAAACAAAAAACAAAAAGTAATTGTTCTATACTCTAGTCTTCCTCGTAACCATTTTCGCGGGCTAGACTGGCATACTTTATTTGCAACAGAAATTATTAAATATGAAACATTCTTCCTACCCACTTCTACTTTCTTCAATTAAGACTGTCTGCCAGACATCACACACAAGGGAGAAATTTACAGTGAATAAAAAATGAAGTGGACAAAAAAGTTTACCCCTCCCACAACTGACATATTTTTTTCTTTTACATGAATCTTCTCCAGTTATCTCAAAAATATACAATTCACATTCAATCATTTAACTATAAATCCTTCCCCTCCAAATGATTATATATGATAGATAGAAATACAAGTTATTCACACAGCTACCGATTCATTCTGTGTAGGTTTATTCCCATGCAACAAAATGAGAATGCAACATATATTCTTAACACGATTAAGAGATACAAACATAACTCAATAATCTATTAAACTTTACTCCAAAAAGAAGAGCAAAAAATGTCAACTTCCTTTGATGCTTTTGTCTTTCAGTCATCCAATTTCATGCATACTCCAATAGGGAATTCACTTTTTTACATTGGGCGAAAAAATAATGGGGATGATTTCTTAAACTGCAGAGATATAAATAAGTCAAAATGACTTGCACTCCAGGTACCACCTCCCACCAAAAAATAAAAAATAAAAATAAAAAAAGCACTGAAGCTGAGGTGACAGTCACAAGAAATGCTGTCTTTAAAATGAATATTGAAAATGAGAGTTCAAATATTCAAAGGTGGGTCTACAAAGAATTTGTAAATATGCATTTTCAAGACAGATATCTCTTACCTAAGTTTTGTTAAGCATTCTCCCTAAGGAAGTAGTATGCATACCTACTGAACTAATAATCTTGCTAGCCACTAAACATTGGTATTCAAATTCAGAGCTATTATTTAATATCAACAAACATTTTGTGAGGAGATAACATCTAATCTATAATTTATAAGGAGAGTGAATTAGAATTATTAAAACCAACAAACACACATGTACACATATATATGGAGTACCTCTAAAAAGCAATCTATACGGGCAGAACATTTAAAAAAAAATTAAAAATGAATATTACTAAATTTAAGTTTTAAAAAGAACCCAGGTGACAAAAACCTATCTTCTGGCTCCTCTTTTATGTTTCATCACAAAGGTAGTGGGAGTTGTATTTTTACTTAAGTCTGACTATCTTACAGTGTACGTTTAGCCAAAATACTTCAGTCAGGCTGTATGACAAAATTGTAATTATTGATTACCAAATTTATAAATACCTTTGGAATTAAATATCTCTTTCAAAAATAACAAAGGAGTAAAGTTTTAAAGCATATTTACTATTATAAATGTAATCTTTATCATTTAGCAAGCAATGAGGTTATTCATAAGGAAAGTTACAAATGAATTGGATATTCAGGAATTGTTAAATGACGCACATTTGGCTCCAACTCAAATTTTCACGATTGTCACAAAAAGAAAGCAAGATTATTTTATTATGCATCCCCTAAATATTAACCGTTTTAATATTAGTGTTGTATAATATTAAATTGTAAAGTAGTACATGCCTTACCATTAATACATACATGGTGACTCTGAATTCAGTGGATAATAAATGCAAAATTTCAGTCAGTACTTATAGAATAAAATGTTTTCCTTCTTATATAATATTTAGGGTCTACGAATTACCTCCAATTATATTAATGTCAGCAAAAGAATGTTGGAAATCTATAATCAGGTAAGATAATTTTCAATACCCTAATGCTGTATACATCTTTAATACAACCTAATTATATACAAAAAATAATGACTGAAATTTATAGGCTAACACCACAACAATACGTATTAATATTTAATCTGTAAGAATTTACCAGATACAAGTTCACTTTGAAGAATTATGGATTTTTGTATAAAGGGAAAATCTATTTATTATTTGCTTTGTTTCCTCTTCTGGGGATAACTGGAAATATTTCATGGCCTGGAGTTTCAATCCATAGCCATTATATACTCTAATCAATGTGGGAGCTAATATTCTATAGTGAACTAAGAATCATTATCTCCTTTTAATAAACAAAAAAGAAAAATGACTGAAGACACTGTATTTTCTTCCAAATAAACATGAAAAGTTAACATCTGTCACCACTATCTTCACTGTACTATATTAAATAAAAATATTCAGCAATAAATTCTGTTGATAACCTTCATATTGGAAATGAAAGGATGTACAATACGTCAAAGAGAGACACAATCTGTGAAAAGGAACAAGTATGAGAGACAGCATGCACCCTAGGTGCCAAAATTTATTAAGGTTTATACACTGTTCTCCCACCAAGTCCTATATTCAAGAATTCAGAAAAGACAAATATTTGCAAAACTACAATGAAATTTTCTATAAGGCAAGGATGTATTTCATGATGAAAAAAGGAGGCTATGTTTACCCTTCTACCTTAAATAAACAGAAAACTAGACAAAATATATGAAACAATGGTTTCCAGACATCACACAACAATCTTCTCAGGACAGAGATCGTCAAGAAAAAGAACAAACGTAGTACACCCAGCTCACTGCCTGTAGTTTTGAGGCTGAAGCACAAGGAGGGGAAACTGGAACTAAATTTTTTAAATATATTTGATGAGCACTATAAACCCACAGATCCAAATTCAACAACCTCTAAAGAGAATAACAAAAACAAAACCACATGATCACAACATCTCAGAGTAAAATAGCTGCAAAACAGCAATAAACAAGAATCTTAAAGCAGGGGAAAAAAATACATAGAGTAACAAAGGTAGGAATGACATCAGACTTCTCATCAGAAACAATGCAAATCAGAGGAGAGTGGTTCAATATATTTAAAGTATAGAAAAGAAAAGAAAACTATCTACAAAGAATTCTAAGCCCAGCTAAAATATCTTTCAAAAATGAAGGTAAGTACAGCCATGTTAGAAGGTTAGGCAGTTTCTTATAAAGGTAAACACAAGCTTACCATACAACTCAGCAACTATGCCCCAAAGTTATTTACCAGTATAAACTGAAAACAGGTTCACACCAAAACCAGTACATGTATGAAGATGTACTTCATTCCAGTGAAGACGTGATGTCCTTTAATAGGTGAATGGATAAACAGAGTATCTACACAACAGAATACTCTCAACAACAAAATGGAAGAAGCTGTTAATTCATGCAAGATGGATGAATCTTAAGTGCATTTTTGCTACATTACAGGAAACAAACCAGACCCCAAAGGCCACACGTTGAACAATTCCATTAATATGACATTATGGAAAAGGCAAAATTACAAACCCAAAAAATAGATCAATTACTTCTCTCTGGCCTTAGTTTCCTAAGCTATAAAATAAAATGACTTAGATGAATCTTTTTTAACTTTTTCTTCTTTTAAACTTTTTAAAAAACCTTCCCCATGTTCCCCTCATCCCACTTCATTACTCAATAGTATTTAAACAATGCCCAAACCTTTTAGAAGCTGAAAATAGTATCTAAAATATCTGTAATTTGGTAGTCATTACCATACTCAAAGTTAAAATATGAATTTGGTTAGGTTAAGACAGCTGAACCAGCTGAACAGGTTTTCTCTTTTTTTAACAGAAGACATTACATTCTGGGGTGGCTATTAATTAGGACAAACTACAAGATGTGACCGATTTCACTGGAGCTCAATAAAACATGCAGTAAATGCATTTAGCCATTATCTTTAAAATAAGGGTTCCTCAAATTCTAGAACTACATCAAGCAATGTTTTCTTAATAGGTAGACTGCAGTCACATAAATATTTCCTTGCCCTTATGAACTAATTTTTTGCTTGATCACATGGATGTTTTAAAAATTCTGAGTTGATGGACAGATGAAATAAATATAAATAAAACTCAAGAATTTCAGTGAAATAAAAATAAATAAAACTCAAGAATACCATACCTGGTCTGGGAAAATTGCCATATTAACTAAGAACAGTTTCTCTGAGTATTTTAGTAATATGGGTTTCACAGACCTATAATTAGCATGTAAAATGAAAAGTTGCCTATATCTACAAAGAAAAACAAATACAACTTAACAATAATCTATTGAAATGAATTTGCTCTCTGGTTGTCATAATGTTTTATAACAATGTTGTATGTGTCTTCCATTTTCCACAGTGGTACTACTTTTAACTCAACTGTACAGTTGTCTCACATCCATACTCCAAGGAGGATTCTACACATCTGATACACAAAATTTACTATAAGTAGAGAGTCAGGTCTATCTAAAAGGCCCACCATCTCGAGACAGAAATTTTCTTCTACTGTGGCTTAAAAGTTTCAAATGAAGTGAATACTTATAAAGGGAATCCTACTGATCTTAAACGACAAAAGTTCAATAATTTCTGAACCACAGGCTTGAAAATTAAAAGCTCTTCATTTGATATGGGCTTAAATAAAACTGGGGTCTGAAATTCAGACAACAGGGGCTGTTTCTAGTCTTCCTGCTGCCCGAAAAGTACATCTGTTTACACAAGTTGCTTAGCTTCTGTGTGATTTAATTTCCTATTATAAATGAAAATAATATATCTGCATGGTCTAGTTCATGGTTTAGAGAAGGAGCAGCCAGCGAGGGAGATGAAAACCAAAGAGAGTATGGTAGATATCTTGAAAGTTAACTGGAATAAGTGGTTCAAGGAAGAATGTAATCAACTGTTTCAAAATGCTGTTGACTAAAAAAAAAAGATGAGAATTAATCTTTGGATTGCAGCATGGAGATCACCTACTTGGTAATCTTCGTAGATAGCTTTGGTGAAATAAATGTACTAACTAGACTGGATTCACAAGAGAACAGGAAGAGAGAAACTGGAGACAAAGTACAGACATCATTTTCAAGAAGTTTTGCCATAAAAGTGAAAAATGGTAATAGCTGAAAAAATTTAGCGTTGACAGAAGGCTTTTTTTAAAGACAGGAAAAATTATGGCACAGAGGGAAATGCTGATGATACAAGATGGAGAGAGAGAAATTACTGGAGTAATGACTCTGAGCAGATGTGGATGGCATTAATAAGAGAATGGCCTTAGATAGGCACAAAGATATATCATCAATAGAAACAGAAACAAAGATAGTAAACAGGAACAGATTCAGGTAGGCCATAGTAATAAAAGCTATGGAAGTTCTCATTCAGCTGTTTCTGTTTTCTTAGTAAAATAAGAAATGAAGTTATCGGGTGAGCATAAGAATATGGGAGGAAGTGTTACAGGTCTGAGGAGGGAGGAAAAGGTCTTCTAAGAAAGGGAGAGTGAAGGGATTAGAGGAACGACAGTAGGTAGAATTGCCAAGTAGTACTAAGGACCCATGGGAGGCTGGTGTTCTCTAGCCACACACAACTGCAGGGATGCAGGAACAGTATAGGTAGAAGCAGACTTAACCAAAAGTTGTGAGTATTAAGAAGCATGAGAGAAGCAACAGACTTAACGGTATAAGCAATATAGTGATTACTAATGATAGGTAAGAAAACAAAGAGTAAGAAAAGAAGTGAGAATATCTCAGTAAGTACTAGCCATATTGCCTTTCTTTGTGTTTCTCAAACACATCCAGTCAGTTCTCAATTTAGGGCCTTTATATTTGCTGCTCCTTTTCAACGATCTTACCCCAAATCTCCAAATGCCAAACTGCTTCTTGACGTTAACATGTCTGCTTGACTATCTCTTTTCAGAAAGGCCTTCACTGAACACCCAACAGTCTGAATTTTGTTCTCATTTGTTTTCTGTCTGTATCCCTGAAGTTCCTTAAGCAGAAGAACCTTGTCTATTAAGCTTATCACTGTTATCACAAGTACCTACAATAAGTGATACATAACAGATACATTTTACTGAATAAATGAAGCACAAGAAATATACTAAATCCTTTACTAACTTTAATTTTATGGAAACATCATTTTCCTTACAAGGACTGCAGCAGAAGCACCTTGTCTAGTAAGAAAAAGACCAGCAACCGGAAGGTTAATTTTAAAAGTTAGTTCCTGCCAAATCAAATACTTTTAAAATACAAATGGACATTTATTCCCCCTTGATAGTCTGACGTAGGACAAGCTTTTGAGTGTAGGATTAGTAATTAACTTTTCACATCATTTTTTGTATAATGCACATCTATAATGCATCTTTTAAGATGTCCAGTTTCAATTTTGTTTAAAGTTGAACAAGACCTTAAAGGCAAATAAATAGCAGAATCTTTCTGAAATTTAACAAATACTTTCTAATTTTTTAATAGCTGTCTCACCATAGCAAACACTCCTGGTTGACACTCTAAAAGCCCTTCTATCTGTGACCACCATAGTTGTCCAAATATTCAAACTTTCCCACATGGTTCAAGAGTAAATGCTGGTCGGGCACAGTGGCTCACGCCTGTAATCCTAGCAGTTTGGGAGGCTGAGGCGGGCTGATCACCTAAGGTCAGGAGTTCAAGACCAGTCTGGCCAACATGGCACACCCCATCTCTACTAAAAATACAAAAATTAGCCAGGCGTGATGGTGGGTGCCTGTAATCCCAGTCGCTCAGGAGGCAGAAGCAGTAAAATCGCTTGAACCTGGGAGGTAGAGGTTGCAGTGAGCTGAGATTGTGCCACTGCACTCCAGCCTGGGCAAGAAACCCTGTCTCAAAAAAAAAAAAAAAAAAAAAAGGAAATGTGATCAGTGTAAGCCAATTTGGTAATCCTATCCCTCTTGTCAGTAATTGATTTATGAAAGGGCATTTAAACCAATCCTGGCTAGTGAGACATAAGGGAAAAACTGATGGTAGGATTCTAGGAAAGAAAGAAAAAACAGACCCTCTTTCCCCAATAGGTGTTGTTATATCAGAATAGCACAACTAGAGCTACTATATCCATCTTGTAACCATAAAGAGAGCTAGCCTGTGGACAAGCTGACACTCTGACAATGGCAGAACAAACAGAAAGAATCTGACCCTGGAATTAATTATTAAACCACTGCATTAACCAACCACACAAAAGCTTCCATTCCTCCAGATATGTGAGAAAATAGTTTTCCATACTGTTTAGTCAATTGAACCAAAAGTTTCCTAAACCTCTGGGCTTATCCACACCTAATCCTTTAGCAATTTGTAAAGAACTTTATATAAGTCCTTCCGAACCATTCACCGTGCTTTTCATTAAAACAATAGTTCTATCTTTCTGTGCTCATATTTTATTCACTTAGATCACATTTAAAGTAAAAATTACATTAACATTGGCATAAAAACTGATTCTTGTTAGGCATATAACTAACCTGGTGGAGAAAAGGGTACAAGGGTAAACTAGAGAGTAGTTTACTAGCTATAAATGCTCAGAATACTCAGGACTAAGAATCTAAAATAATGGTTTGTTTAAAAGAGTGGGTCAGTTAAGTGTAGGTTTAAGAATATTGGTTACAAACATATTTCTGTATATATTAATATCTTTATTTAACAAATGGATATTTTCCTATGAGGAGGAAGAAGGCAACTAAAAAGCCCTATAAAAACTTAGGACTTACATTTCCAGGAGAAACATTAAAATTAGAGTAAACCTAGAATCAAAGAAGTAGGGGTATGAGTCTACTCTAAGAACAGTGGTAGTATACTATTAATGTAAAGAACTTTAACCTCAATATGTGTTGTTTCACTGCTACTGAATTGAGAATATTTGAAAAATTGTGCAATTCAAAATTTTCAGGCAGTGCAGACAAACGTATTGTTTGCTTTATTTATCTAAGAACTAAGTTTCAGTTTATCATGTGTTATACTAAGGATAACTATAGCAGCTTGCCATTTATAGGGGATACCTGTATTCCCTGTCAAGAAATACTAAAGTAAACAAATTATTTCACACAGAAATTTACCAGAGATTTTGAAACAAGTATTTAAAAATAAAATGGTCAAAAATCATTGATACTAATAATCAGAGACTCTTCTAACTTCCTTCCAAAAATACTGAGCCCTACTATATGCCAGGTAGTAAATAAAACTCTGTGTTTGCCAATTGTTCTCTATGGATTTATAAAGCACTAATTATAATTAACACAAGGTCACAAATGGCAATAATATTAAAACCTTTATTAGCAATACTTTTTCACTGAGGAATGTATTTCATATGTATTACACATAACTTATGTTCACCTAATATATATTAGGCACTAAGCCAAATGTCTCATGGGCTGGAAAAGACAGAATTCTTAACCAGGTTCTATAAATCTTCAGTCTTTTGACTGAATGCAGAAGGTACATAAACTTGGCTGGGGTAAAAAAGCTAGAGCTTTAATTTTACAAACCTCTAACTGAAATTTAGTATTTCCTTAATTTAAAATGTAGGTAACAAGCCACAGTGGTGCTAGAGGCACCTGTGATGATTTTTGTTACCACTAGAAACCACAGATATTTTCATATCACTTTAGTTGCTTCAAATCTCAAATTATCATTTATATTCATCACAAGTCTAAAAGTTATTAATACTATATACCAGTAGACTTCGTGTTGATATGCATGTTACTGAGTTTGTTTAGTCAATATTTTAAAAACTGTACTCCAATATAACTGGTGACCTCATAAGCATATGTATTTAATTTTGCACATGTAAACTATTATTGAGAAGGGGTCCACATTCTTCACCAGAGAGCCAAAAAGGTTCATGGAACAAAAAATATTAATAACCTCTGGATGAGAATATCACAGCATGAACAAGGTTGTTGGCAGAGAGTAACTTCGAATAGTAAAGACCTTAAAAAAAAAAAAAGCTTAAAAAAAAAAAGCTTCAGAGCGAAATTGAGTTTAAACACCTTGTTTCAGAGATACATTGTAGTCTGGTAGGCCTAACCTTGTTCAAGGTCTCATACACACAGCTAATTAGTGACAGAGTGAGAGAAAACAGAATCCAGCATTTCTGATTCACAACCCAGGGCTAAATCAACTTTGATGTGACTTGGCTATAAGAAAGCAAGACAGGGCAAAGACACTGAAAATATATGCCAAAAAGTTATTAGGGAAAGACATAAATTATACAGGAAAAAGTGCTACTTTGAAAAAGAAAATGATGGGTGAGATGTTAAAGCATTTTGAAAATATATGTTGCAGCATAAGATGCCAACTCAAGTGTTTAAAAAGACAAGTCTGAAAACAGGTATGATCCTTTTTGCATACCGGACATGTATAAACATTCCAAATGCCATTAAAAATTATTGTTTCTCCCACATTTCTTGAAACACGGACTTATGATTTTGTTTTCCCACTACATAGAAACAGGAGTACAGTAAAAATTTTACTTCTGGCTAGGTGTGGTGGCTCACACCTGTAATCCCAGCACTTTGGGAAGCCAAAGTAGGAAAAATCACTTGAGCCCAGAGTTCGAGGCCAGACCAGGCAACATAGTGAGACCCCATCACTACCAAAAAAAAAAAAATTTTTTTTAAATAAGCTGAGCGTGATGGCACACGCACCCTGTAGTCCCAACTACTTGGGAGGCTAAGGTGGGAGGATCACTTGAGCCCAGAAGTTCAAGGCTGCAAGTGAGCCCTGACTGCACCACTGCACTCCAGCCTGGGAAAAAGAACAAGACCCTGTCTCAGAAAATAACAAATAAATTTTACTTTCTTCTGATCCTTTGATAAGAAAAACCACCACATAGGCACAATAGTAAATATCAAGAATGGCAGTGGGTATCAATGTCAAAGAGACAAGAGAAAGTATCAAAAAGTATGGCAAACTGGAAGGTCCACAGACCACCTAAAGAAGGCAGTTGCTGCTACTCTACTCTAGCTAATTGCTACCGAGAGAACTGTCCACCCAGAATTCTACATGGATCAAAAGCATCCTTCAAAAACAAAGGTGAAATAAAGACACTTTCGGATGAAAGAAACTAAGAGAATTCATTGCTAGCAGACCTGCTATAAAGAAAGGAAGATTCTTTGGACAAAATGAAAATAATACCGGTAGAAAACTTAGAGTTTTATGAATGAATGGGAAAAAAATGGAAAATATGTGTGTGTACATGTCAGACCAGGAGTTGGCAAACTTTTTCGTAAAGGGTCAGATAGTAAATACTTTGTAAAGGGCCAGATAGAAAATATTTCAAGTTTCACAAGCCTAACAGTCTCCATTGTAACTAATCAATTCTGCATTGTAGTGCAAAAGCAGCCAGAGACAATATATAAACTAACAAATGTGGCAGTATTCCAATAAAACTTTATTTACAAAAAGCAGATGTCAGGCTAGACTTGGCCTGCAGCCATAGTTTGCAATCCCTGTGATAGACTATTCTTTTCCTCTTAAATCCTTTAAAACATGATGATAGTTGAAAGCAAGTGACCTCACTGTGTGACGAGTATCTGAAGTATACAAATGTAATACATATGAAACTACAACATAAAAGGGGATGAGTAAAGGGAACTACATGCTGACAAGGTTTCCACATTCCACTTGAAGTGATATAAGTGCAGTGCAGTGAGTTGTGTACTCAAAAAAGATGTGTTCAAGACTTAACCCCCAGGACCTCTGAATTTCACCTTATTTGGCCACAGAGTCATTGCAAATCTCACCAAATTAACAGGAAGTCATACTGGATTTATGAAGGCCCTAAATCCAATGACTTGTGTCTTCACAAAAGAAAGGAGCGATTAAGTACAGAAACACAGTGGGAAGAGAAAGAAGACCATGTGAAAACAGAGGCAGAGACTGGAGTGATGCAGGGATAAGCCAAGGAACACGATTGCTGGCAACCACCAAAACTAGAAGGAAGGTTTCTTCTCTATACCCTTCAAAGGATTTACGGCCCTGATGATACCTTGAGATTTGGGGCTTCCAACCTCCAGAACCATGAAAGAATAAATTTCTGGTATTTTAAGCTACAGTTTGTGGCAATTTATTATAGGAGCCCCAGGAAACTGACATAATAAGTAAATTCTGAAAAGTTAAGAATGTGCATTGTAATCCCTAAAGTAATCTCTAAAAAAAAATACACAAAGAATATACTAAAAAACTCAATAAGTAAAATGCAATATTAAAAGTAGTCAGATAATCCAAAAGATGGCAGGAAAGAAGAATCAATCACATGAGTGAAAAAGCAAATGGAACAAACAGAAAATTTAAAAAAGCAAAGGGTTTATCTAAATCCAAATAGAACAATAATTATATTAGATATAGATAGTCCAAAAGAATGAGATTGTCAAAATGGTTAAAAAAACAAAAAAAAGACTATATGCTGTCTACAGGAAACATACAGGTGAAAAAAGATATACCATGCAAAAAGTAAACAAAGAGAAGCTGGAGTGGCTACCTTACCATCAGAATAAGTACACTTCAGAGCAATTAAAAAATATTACCAGGGCTAAGAAATGTATGTTAAATAATGATAAAAAGGCCAACTTACCAGGAAGACATAATATCCCTTAAATGTGTACGCACTTACAACAGAGCTTCAAGTTAAAAATACCAAAAACTAATAAGCCTGAAAGGAGAAACTGACCATTCCAGCATTACATTTGGAAATTTCAATACTCCTCTAAGTAATTATAAAGCAAGTAAACAAAAGTCAGCAAGGATACAGAAAAACAGAACACCATCATTAACCAACTAGATCTAATTGACATTTATAGAATATAATTTCAACGGCCGGGTGCTGTGGCTCACGCCTGTAATCCCAGCACTTTGGGAGGCCAAGGTGGGCGGATCACCTGAGGTCAGGAGTTTGAGGCAAGTCTGACCAACATGGAGAAACCCCATCTCTGCTAAAAATACAAAATTAGCTGGGCATGGTGGTGCATGCCTATAATTCTAGCTACTGGGGAGGCTGAGGCAGGAGAACCGCTTGAACTACTGCCTCAGCCTCCACCCAGAGGTGGAGGTTGTGGTGAGCCAAGATGGCGCCATTGCACTCCAGCCTGGGCAACAAGAGAGAACTCTGTCTGAAAAATAATAATAATAATAATAATACAACATCAACGACAGTAGATTACAAATTCCTAAAAGGAGAAAATGAAACATTCATCAAATTAGTTGCATCTTAGTTCTTTTAAAAAAAAAAAAAAAGTTAAAAGAATTGAATTCATACAAATATTTTCTGACTATAAGAGAATTACACTAAAAAGTGACATGAGAAACTGGAAAGTATCTCCAAATACATAAAAATTGAACTGTGCATATCTAAGTAATCCATGGTCATAGAGGTATTATAAAGGGAAATTTAGAAATATTTTGAACTGATTGAAAACAAAAATAAAACATACAATCTGTAGGATGTAACCAAATTAGTACTCAAGGGGAAATTTATAATTTCAAGTGCTTATCTTTGAAAAGCTCTCAGGTCAATCACCTAAGCTTACATCTCAAAAACCTTGAAAAAGGGCACAAAATAAACCAAAAGTAAACAAAAATAATAAATAAAGATGAGAGGAAAAAACACAGAAATTGAAAAAAAGAATTAAACAAAACAGAAAATCTAATTCTTTAAAAGGAAAATCACCAAAACTGATGTACCTCTAAGGCAGACTGACAAAGAAAAAAGTCAGAAACTACCACTATCAGGAATAAAAGAGAAAATATAGAACCCACAGGCATTAAAAGGATAATAATACCAGAACAACTCTATAAAAATAAAATCAGCAACTTAGATGAAATGCACCTATTCCTCAAAAAACCTGAAGTCTTACACCTACAGAAACAAATGAACTCACAGTGAAAGAGAGAAAGAAAGAAAAAAGAAAGAAAGAGAAGAGAAGAGAAGAGAAGAGAAGAGAAGAGAAGAGAAGAGAAGAGAAGAAACAAAACGAAACTCCAGGTTTGGTAGTTTTACTAGTGAACTCTACCAAAACACTTAAAGAAGAAGTAATACCAACTTGACATGTTTTCCAGAAAATGGGACACAAAACACTTAAGTCATTTTTGAGGCATTACTGATACCAAAACTAAAAACAAGAAAACAATAACAAACAAAAAAAAATTAAAGACCAATATTCCTCATAAATATAAAGGCAAAAATTCTCAACAAAATATTAGCAAATCAAATTCAATAAAATGCCCAAAGATCTACGAACAAGTAAGGTTTATCCAGAGAAAATAAGACTGACTTAATTGTCAAAATTCAATCAATGAAAAAAAACATAATTGGAGAAAACTGCTTGAAAAGAAAACAAAAACTCAGTGCTCTGGGGAGTGTTCTAAGGGAATACAGCAAACGAAAAACTATTTTATTTTAAATAATCTACTAAATCTCAATAGAAATAGCAAGAATCTATAGTATCTGAGCCACACTGCCCCTTTCTTCCCTCTGCCCGCTCAGCATAATGAAATTTCTAATCCTGGCAGATGGGGTCAAGACAGGGCTCTCTCCCTGCCTAGTTTCCAGTCAAGGGTTAGAGTATCTCTCCAGGACAGACAGGCCAACAGAATTTCTTATACTCAACTCCCTCACTTCTGCCACCAGCCTCAAAACACAGGCAGAGGCTCTACCGTAAACATGACAGGCCTAGAACACAGGGGCCCCATTTGCCTTCAACCCATCTCACTCATAAGACCGTGGTTACACACAGGGATAGGTAAGCCAAAAAGACTAGAGGCTACCACCCTGCCCACTGGTAGTGGCTCAGAGATTCTGCTGCAGAGCAGGAGCAGACCTAAGAGCAGAGAACTCTAAAAGCCTCCCAAAAAGAAAAGACTTTATTTGGGACAGAGTGTAGAGAAGTTCAAGCCTAAGGGTACCCTCAAAAATATGGAGATTTGGGCAGTAAGCAACTAAAAGGAAGCTGGTAGCTCTAAGACAGGAACAAGTTAAACCACGGGCTAGCTAGTGTACCAAAGAGAACTGGGAAGAGAGATAGCTAGGAACAGACCTCCGCAGTTCATAACAAACACTGAAGACTAGCCTCAAAAAAATGCCCCTACAAAGGGGCCAAAATTTAATTTGATCTCACTGTGGAGAAATTTATGCTCCAGAGAACTGTTAATAACAAAAGAGCAGTCACCAGCAGTTAGTAAAGGCTATCATATCTGGGTGTGACACCAACAGAAGCAGAGGTTTTAACAGATATATATAAGTGAAAAAGACAATCGGAAATGGTCCTACTAAAATCACTGTCATCCCAATATAATTGCCCATGTCCAAGGCTGTACCCTCTCATGGGTGACATCAGGCACTTCACACGGCAAGAAATATAAAACTTCATTGAAAAAGCCCAGCCAAGCCATTAAACAAGCAAACAAGCACAAAGGAGAAGAAAGATCAGTATCCAGAGATGCTGCAAAGTTCATGTAAAATGTCCAGCCTCTCGCCCACAAATTATGACATGCAAATAAATAGAAGTAATTCATACACAGGGTGAAAAAGCAGTCAACGAAAACTGCCTGTTTAAGAGCCAAGATGTCAGACTTAATAAAGACTTCAAAGCAGTCGTTAAAAATATATTCAATAATTTAAGGAAATCATGATCAAAGACGTAAAGGAAAGTGTGATGTGACAATGTCTTATCTTTAAGAAAGAGATAAGAAAAAAAGAGATATTATGTAGTTAACAAGTAAAATGAACTGAAAAATTCAGAGGCTCAAAAATAAGAGGGGCTCAAAAGCATATCTGAACCAGGAGAACAAGGAGAATGTAAATTTGACAACAGATTCATAGGGTTGTGCAATTCAGAGAAAAATTAATTAAAAAATGTGAACAAAACCTCAGGAAAAAAAAGCATAGGATACTATTAAGTGAATCAACATATGTGTAATGGGAGTAAGAAGAAAGGAGAGAGAAAAGAACAGAAAAATATTTCAGGAAATAATGGCTGATAACCTCTGAAATTGAAGAAAAACACTAATCTACACATCCAAGAAGAGTTACCAAGTAGGGTAAACAAAACGATTCATGCCCAGAAACATCATAGCACAAAACGTTGGAAGCCAATGACAAAAAGACTCTTGAAAGCAGCAAGAGAAAAGTGACTTGTCACAACTAACTTTTCATTAGAAATAATGGTGGCCAGAAAGATGTAGGATGACATATTCAAAACAATGAAGAAAAAACTGTCAATAAAGAATTTTATATCCAGCAAAACCATCCTTCAAAAAAGGCAAAATAGGCCGGGTGTGGTGGCTCATGCCTGTTATCTCAGTACTTTGAGAGGCCGAGGTAGACAGATTACCTGAGGTCAGGAATTCAAGACCAGCCTGGCCAACATGGCAAAACTCCATCTCTACAAAAAATACAAAAATAGCCAGGTGTGGTGGCAGGCGCCTGTAATCCCAGATACTCTGGAGGCTGAGGCAGGGGAAGTGCTTGAACCCGGGAGGTAGAGGTTGCGGTGAGCCGAGATCACACCACTGCACTCCAGCCTGGGTAACAGAGAAAGACTCCATCGCAAAAAACACAAATAACCGGAAAAAAAAATAAGGCAAAATAAACTTGGAGATTAAGATGGATTGGCAGAATTCACTGCTAGCAAACTTGACAGACTGATAAAAATAATTATGTAATTAGGCCGGGCGCCGTGGCTCACGCCTATAATCCCAGCACTTTGGGAGGCCAAGGCAGGCAGATCACGAGGTCAGGAGATCGAGACCATCGTGGCTAACACGGTGAAACCCCGTCTCCACTAAAAAATACAAAAAAATTGACCGGGTGTAGTGGCGGGCGCCTGTAGTCCCAGCTACTTCGGAGGCTGAGGCAGGAGAATGGCGTGAACCTGGGAGGTGGAGCTTGCAGTGAGCCGAGATTGCGCCATTGCACTCCAGCCTGGGCGACAGAGCGAGACTCCGTCTCAAACAAAACAAAACAAAACAAAACCTAGAAAAAGATGAGCAAACTAAACCAAAAGCAAACAATGGATATAATAAAGATGAGAGCCGATATAAGTGAACTAGAGAATAAAAAAATGAGAAATACTTTTTAAAGTTTATTATCTAAAAAGATAAAGAGATTGACAAACTTTGAGCTAAACTGACCAAGAAAAGAAAAAAAAAGAAAACTCAAAGTACTAAAAACAGGAAAGAAACAGTACATTACTACAACTTTGTAGGGTAGGCATAACAAGGATCGTAAAGAAATAATGTGAACTGAATACTAACAAATTAAATAACTAAAGGGAAGGGACAAATTCTTACAAAGTCACAGACTATCAAAATTGACTTAGGATGAAACAGACAATCTGAATAAACCTGTAACAAGTGAAGAGATTGCATTAGTAATTTTAAAACTTCCCATAAAAAAAAAAAAAAAATCTCAGGCCCAGGCAGCTTCACTGGTGAATTGTACCAATTTTAAGAAAAACTGATACCAATTCTTCACAAACTCTTCTAAAACAGAGAAGAGTTTTGGAACCTGGAACATTTCCTAATTCATTTTACAAGACCATTATTATCCAGTTAACAACATCAAAGAAATCTCAAGAAATGAAAACTACAGACTGATATATCTTATGAAAATAGGCACAAAAACTGGCCAGGCGTGGTAGCTCACGCCTGTAATCCCAGCACTTTGGGAGGCTGAGGCAGGAGGACAACGAGGTCAGGAGATTGAGACCATCCTGGCTAACATGGTGAAACCCCGTCTCTACTAAAAAATACAAAAAAATTAGCTGGGCATGGTGGCAGGCGCCTGTAGTCCCAGCTACTCAGGAGGCCGAGGCAGGAGAATGGCGTGAACCTAGGAGGTGGAGGTTGCAGTGAGCCGAGATCATGCCACTGCACTCCAGCCTGGGCAACAGAACAAGACTCCGTCTCAAAAAAAAAAAAAAAAAAAAAAAAAAAGAAAGAAAGAAAATAGGCACAAAGATCCACAACAAAATACCAGAAAACAAATACAGCAAAATAGGGATTATACAACATGACCAGTTGGATTTATCCCAAAAATTCAAGAACTGTTCAACATCATAAAAACAAAATAATGTAATACAACATATTAGAACAACCACATGATCATCTCAAAAGATGCACCAAAAAAAGCATCTGAAAAAATCTAACAGCCCTTCATAATAAAAGCACTCAACATACTAGAAATAGAAAGGAACATCCTCAAACTGATAAAAGGTATCCATGGAAAAAAAAACAAAAACACAGGTATATACTCAAAGGTGAAAGTCTGAATGCTTTCCTTATATGATCAGAGATAATACAAGGTTGTCCACTAAACAGAATTGCCATTTCTATTTCATACTGTACTAAAGATTCTAGCCAGAACAATTAGGCAAAAAAAAAAAAAATAGAATGCATCTGGATTGGAAAAGAAGAAGTGAAACTACCTCTAATTGCAGATTACATGATATCATAGATAAGAAAATCCTAAAGAAGCCACTAAAAAGATTATTATAAACACATAAACCTAACAAAAGAGCACCGAAATGAATGAAGCAAAAACTGACACCTGAAGAGAGAAAATAGCCAATTCAACAACAGTGGTTGGGAGACTTTTAATACTCCATGTCAATAATGAATACAACAACTAGATACAAGATAAGTCAACAGGAGACTTGAAAATATACAACAGTTTACATAGCAGTTTAATACTTAAGATTTTATTAATAGTAATGTTTTATAATAATTAAGTAAACAAGTGCAACAAGGTTGCAGGGTACAAAATCAATACGCCAAAATTAATTGCATTTCTATACAATAACAATGAACAATCCAAAAATGAAATTAAGAAAATAACTCCATTTCTGAAGCATCCAAGAGAATAAAACACTTAGGTGTAAGTTTAACAAAAGTAATACAAAACATACCATAAAAACTACAAAACATTCTTAAAAGAAATTAAAGTCTATTTTGGTACTCAATTGATTAAAAAAAAAGAAATTAAATAACTATATAAATAGAAAGACATCCCATGTTCAGTTTCAACACAATTCTATCAAAATTCCACCTGGTTTCTTTGGAGAAATTAGCAAGCTAGTTCTAAAATTCATATGGAAATTCATGGAGCAGATACTAATAAAACAATCTCGAAAAAGAACAGAGTTGGAGGATTCTCAAAAATTCCTGTTTTCAAAATTGCAGATCGTAATCAAGGGATACTGGCATAAGGATAGGCATACCAATCAATGAAACAGAATTGAGAGTCCAGAAATAAAGCTTCACATATACAGTCAGCTCATTTTAGAGAAGGGTACTAAGATAAATAAATAGAGAAAACAGTCTTTTTAACAAATACTGAGCTCCAAATCATGCACATTTTTCACTATTATCTCTTCAAATACTCTATACACAAATTTAAGTCTAGCAACATACAAAATCTAGAAGAGGTTTTAGCAGTCTCATGATAAAGGAAAGCGGCAAAACTGGGGGAAGAGGATATTTATTATATGCATTCATTCAACAAACGTTTCAGGCACCAGTTAGAAGAGTACTAGCCAACAAAACAATATCCAACAGAAGTGAACAACTGATACATGCAACATAAATAAGTCATGAAATTATGTTGAGCAAAAGAAGGCACAAAACAATGCAGTACCTACAAACCCGTTTGTTCGAATCTCTAGAAAAAATCTCAAATATACTGACAGAAAGCAGATCTGTGGTTGCCAGGGCCATGATTGGGGTCTCCATGGAATCAGTGAACTTGAGGGTTGATGGGAATATTCTGTATCTGAATGATGGTGATGGTTAAACGGGTGTATAAATTTGTGAAAACTAATTTAAAAAAGGACACTTAAACGGGTACCTTGTATTATATGTAAACTTCCTTGACAAAGTTGATTTAAAAATAAGAATGGTATTAGTTCCTATGGATATTAAAAAAAAATAAGCCCTGCATGAAAACTCACCCTAGATCAACACTAAAAACTAAGCCCGGTCTGAATTTCACTGTAAAAGTGAAAGGCTCTGTAAGTATGCTTGAACAAGAACAGTACAAACAAAAATTCAGGAGGTTTTGAAGTCAAAGACCTGACTCTGGATCTTACTGGCTAGCTTATGTGACCTTGAAGAAGTTAATTACCAGTTATATGCTAGAACCTACCTTATTTACTCAACTGTAAAATGGGAAAAATTCAGCTAACCTCGTGTAACAACTGTGAAGAGTATATACAAGGTATATTTTACTGTAAGTAAAAATGTCCTTATGGTAGCCTAGCAAAGTCTTTCCTCATTTGCCCTTTTCTGTACCCATCTACCATTCTCTTCCTTTCCCACTACACTCTAGCCACACATACTGCTTTGCAATTTTTTAATCATAAGACATCAAGAATCCGTCTCTCTCAGGTTTTTTGTTCTTTGTTGTTGTCCCTTCCTGAAAGCCCTTTCTCCTGAACAAGCACAGGATTGCTCCCTCACCACAGGCTCACGCCTTGAGGGGAAATCAGTGGGAAAGGACTTCCCTGACCAGCCTATTTAAATCTGCACCTCATACACACTCCATACTTTCCCTTAGTTTCTTTTCCTCCTTATCCTTACCACCATCTGTCAGATTATATGTATCTATATAGATTTTATTTTGTACACTGCTATATTCTTTTGGAATAGCACTTGGGGCACACGGTAGGAGTTAAATAAATATTTGTTAAATTAATGAATGAGTAACATAAAATATCTAATACAATACCTAAATATTACTTGTCTTTGCCTACTTCCCACAAGCAAAATACTATTTTCAAATACATCCACAGATATGAAAGTGATTTTGAAGCCCTCCAGAAAACATAAGCTTAATACTGAAAATACAATCTGATTTTAACATAACATCTTAACCTACATTTTCAGTGTTAATACAGTAAATTAAATTAGGCAAAAATTCTTTTAAACTTTTTCACCGTAAGTTTATCCAGTTTAAACCCCTTGGAGATCAGTTTTGATATGGTACTTCTGTATATTAACCCTGTCTCATAATTGTGTGATGCTATTTACTTTTTCTTCCCAGGAAGTATGGAATAATGCTTGGGAGGGGACCACGGACAGGACTATAACATATTACTCTTATTTTGTCTTTATTCTTATTAGTAAGAATGAAAAACATAAACAGAAAACGTGAAAATAGAAGTGAATATAAAATATTGCTTCTTCAGAGAAAAAGCCAAAAAATACAAGTTTTTAAAATTATCAGTTTATAACTTTGAAATTTAGAACTTTTTGTTAACACAACATACTCAGTATCAGTGACAGTAAATTAAAAAGGACACAATTTACACAGAGCTGCAGAGAATGTAAACTGGCACAGCTTTGCTGTAAGAAAAAAAGCAACTGAATATTAAAAGCTTTGGAAGATAACTTTTCATACATCCAACATATTTACATTTGTTAGGCCTGTACGAGTTTTCAATATACATTAATGAACTAGACTGAACTTGTCCCTACTCATGATCTAGTGGTGGAATGAAAGACAAAATTTTTTTAGCGTAATAGCTAATTACAATAGATGCTAGGGAAGAAGAGTCTACTTAAGAAAAGGGTAGTTGGGGCCGGGCGCGGTGGCTCACACCTGTAATCCCAGCACTTTGGGAGGCCGAGGCAGGTGGCTCACGAGGTCAGGAGATCGAGAGCATCCTGGCTAACACGGTGAAACCCCATCTCTACTTAAAAAAAAAAATACAAAAAAATAGCCGGGCACAGTGGCAGGCACCTGTAGTCCCAGCAACTTGGGAGGCTGAGGCAGGAGAATGGCGTGAACCCGGAAGGCGGAGCTTGCAGTGAGCCGAGATGGTGCCACTGCCCTCCAGCCTGGGCGAAAGAGCGAGACTCCGTCTCAAAAAGAAAAAAAAAAAAAAAAAAGGGGGTAGTTGGGGAAAGACTCACTGAGAGTATCCTGTATACTATCGGATGTGCTAAATGCTATACATATGTTGTCATTTA
Source organism: Homo sapiens (assembly GCF_000001405.40). Lineage (NCBI taxonomy): Eukaryota > Metazoa > Chordata > Mammalia > Primates > Hominidae > Homo > Homo sapiens. The sequence continues at coordinate 70,257,273 of NC_000012.12, read as the reverse complement.
CTCCTTCTAACCTCTGAGTTAAGTATATTATACCTGTTCTTACAGAGAGAATACTAAGGCTTGAAAAGTAATCTCACTAAGGACACAGCAATTGGCTAAGCACTGGACCTGCTTACCTCCAAAATTCATATACTTTGAAATGATTGTACTTATAGAAATTTCTTCTAAAGAAATAAATGTACAAACAATTCAGGTACAAGAATGTTCATCACAGTGCTATTTATAAAAGTAAAAAAAAAATAAAATGTTCAATCATACACAATCATTAAATCAGTTATGCTCTGGCCATTAAGAATCCTGTTTTGGATAAATATATGACACTGGAAAATGCTTATGGTGTCAGTTTTGTTTTTTCAATACAGGTTACAAATTACCATGTCTACTCCAATTTCTTCATCACAAAAATGCAAACTTTCATGGATGTCTCTGAGTGGCTTTTTCTCCTCTCTTTATTACAACTCTCCTGCATTTTCACATCCCCCATATTACCTTAATAATCAGAGAGAAAAACGAGAGACTGTAGAGCTTACAAACACATGCATGCAAAGGAAATGGCAATGTTTGCCTCAGTTAACAACGGTTCTCTAGGTTATAGGCTTGGAAGTGATTTTTATTTTCTTCTCTCACCAACCTTTCTACTTTTTCTGTAATAAGTATATGCTATTACCACTTTTTTTTTTTTTTTTTTTTTACCCACAGGTCTCCTTCAGCAGAACCTCACATTTAATTCACTCCATATAAAAATTTAAAAACCAGTAAATAACACTATTACTTCCTTGGTATGCTGTAATAATACATATCAATATACAAGAATCCAAAATTACAAAATAGGTAAGTTATAGAGAAACTTTCTATTACAAAAGAATCTTCCCTTTAAAACAATTTACCTCAGAATTCCAAGTTGAAGTTCCCAAAGTATATTAAAAACTTCTCAAATCATTAATTTGAATCAGATGTTCCAAATCAAAGGAATTAAATACTCTTTTTCTGGGCCAATTGATAAATCTGAAACTATTTTGAAATAGTATTAAGTGACAGAAAAGCAAAAATATATCTTTGCCTTGTCTTGATATTTTAGCATGTACATTTTTGGTCCAAGGCTGGAATATACAATTAGAAATAAAAGCCTTCTTCATCATAAAGCTTAGGATATAAATTATTCTGAGGAATGAATTCCCTAATTACTTTTAGTTAATTCCAGTGAAATAAGCAAACAGCCTTGGATATTGAAAACTGTTCTAAAGTGTGGTAATAATCTTCTAAGAATAGCAAACATAACAGAGTTAACTGAGTATCTGATGCCTGAGTATTTTGCTGTGCCTGACAATCATTATTTAAACTATTGAAATTATAAAGGGGCATATCTTGACCAGAATCTGTAGATCTTCTAGAAGTTCATGTTTTATATTACAAATATGTTTTATAAATAAGTTTTAGATATGAGTTATTTGCTCAATTTTAAATTATTTGCCTTAGTTAATATGAAAGAATTGAATAGCAAACTAACTGAGGATTTAGGGTAGCTGTACTCCAATTTCTAGAGTTTCAGTATATGTTTTTAGAAGAAAAAGTATTTTGCTTGTAAGTGCCTTTGTTACAGTACACGATTAAATAATCAGCACATACAACAAATACTTAATGTCAGCAACTAGATTTTACAAGGATGATAGTAAAAGCAATGCCTTTTCCTACAATGCACGACAGTCATTTTCCAAATTCATTACTCTGTGATTCACTTTCCTTGCTTTGCTACTGCAGCTATTTAGTACTATTCTGCTTGCCTTATATGGTATTTACTTTTAATGCTTCAAAAGGCTCAGTACCCAAGAGATCTTACAGATTTAAGGGACAAAGAACAGCGTAAGTTATTCATACACATATGCACAAGAATACACAAGAGTTTCAAACTACTGCACTGACATTCTCAATGCTCTAACTATAAATTAAAAATGAATTTCAAAAAAACAGACACGATGTTCACAAAAAATACACTTGGCTAACAATGATAAAGAGAAAGGACACAAATACAGTTACAAAAATGGGAATACCCCAAAGATTATCATGATATTTTACCCTAATGAAGCAGGAGTTAAGATGAAGTAAATTTCCTGCTATAGATACATAGAGAAAGCATCAGGACCTCAGCATGCAAAAATACTCAATTAACTGGCCTGCTCCGATGAACATAGCAGAATCTTTTTTTACCACTCCCACAATCTCTCCAAACTCCCCTCCCAAAGTCCAATAAGCCAGTTTTCTTTTTTTCTTCTTCTTCTTTTTTTTTTTTTTTTTTGAGATGCAGTCTTGCTCTGTCACCCAGGCTGGTGTACACTGGCATGATGTCAACTCACTGCAACCTCCGCCTCCCAGGTTCAAGCGATTCTCCTGCCACAGCCTCCCAAGCATCTCGGATTAGAGACACGTGCCACCATGCCTGGCTAATTTTTTGTATTTTTAGTAGAGACAGGGTTTTCCATGTTGGCCAGGCTGATCTTGAACTCCTAAAACTTACAATCCACCCGCCTCGGCCTCCCAAAGTGCTGGGATTACAGGCATGAGCTACTGCGCCTAGCCTAATAAACCAGATATCTATTTAAATAAAAATGCATAAAGGGCAAAGCACCCAAATGCAGCAGCATCACCAGGTAAAAATGAATGAATCATTCAATCATACAACTTAAGAAACTACAGTAGTTCTCCCCTTATCCGCGGTTTCTTCTTCTTCAGTTTCAGTTATTCATGGTGAACCGCAGTACAAAAATATTACATGGAAAATTCCAGAAATAAATAATTCATACGTTTTAAATTGGGCACCAGTCTGAGGAGTGTGATGAAATTTTCTGACATCCCGCTCCATCCCACCTGGGACATGATATCCTTGCTACATATGCTACCCACCCCTTATTCACATTAGTAACTATCTTGATTATCAGACTGACAGATCACAAGAAGTACAGTACAAGAGGTGTTTTGAGAGAGAGATCACATTCATTTAACTTTTTTATATTATATAATTGTTCTTTTTTTTTTTTTTTTGAGACAGAGTCTCGCTCTGTCCCCCAGGCTGGAGTGCAGTGGCGTGATCTCGGCTCACTGCAAACTCCACCTCCCGGGTTCAAGCGATTCTCCTGCCTCCGCCTCCTGAGTAGCTAGGACTACAGGCGCGTGCCACCACTCCCGGCTAATTTTTGTATTTTTTAGTAGAGGCGGGGTTTCATCGTGCTAGCCAGGATGGTCTCAATCTCCTGACCTCGTGATCTGCCCGCCTTGGTCTCCCAAAGTGTTGGGACTACAGGCGTGAGCCACTGCGCCTGGCCTATTTTATTATTAGCTATTGTTGCTCATCTCTTATTGTACCTAATGTGCAAGTTAAACTTTATCATAGGTATGTATGTATAGGGGGGAACAGTACATATAAGGTTCAGTGCTATCTGTAGTTTCAGGCATCCACTGGGGTCTCAGAACATATTTCCCCTTGAATTAAGGGGAAACTACTATACTAGTTTCACTACAGTAACTAATAATCAGGAATAATTATCATGATACTTTGACATGCTCTACAGTTAAACACTTTTTCTTTCATTATCTGAGTTGCCATCAGCAACACTGGGAGGTATAAATTATCAAACAGCTGAGGCTCTTCAATACTAATTGATTTGTCCAGGCACACAGCTAGTAAGTTTATAGAGCCCAGACTGGAACCCATCATCTGAATCAAAGTGTGAAGTCTTTCCAAAATAATATATTATCTCTTCATTAAAGATGAGCACGTACTCAATGGTACATTTCTCAACTTTCAAAAAAATAAATAAAAGGTGCTAAGTGTTTCTTCTGAACTTCCAGGATTTTTGCAATTTTTGCTCTAAATAAAGGAAATGGCATGGGAACCAACAACAGTAAATACCTACTTGTCAGGAGTTTTACAGGGTCATATTTAAACCTACTAAATACACTTAAGGGAAGAAAATATTTTATTAATTTTAAGGAAGAAAACAGGCACAGAAGAAAAAACTACTACAGGTAACTAACTCTGCACTATTCAGGTTGAAAAAGGTAGACACCAGTCTGTCTGAATCCTAACCCATTAGATTTATCCCACTTAACACAGGAATTATTAAATGCCTATTATGTGCCCTGTGCTTTGCCAAGTACTACAGACAGAGCAATATGACGATTTATTTATGTTACTCAAAATATTACACATCTTACTTCACAGAAGGTCATCTAAACAAAATTCCTGGTAGGAAAAACATGTTTAGACTCTAAGAGCAAGACTGCATTCTTGTTTACATTTACGAATCTGATACAAAAAAGAGTATAGTGCACTCTATGAAATAAATTGTGGCTAATTCTTGTATACCCCAGAAGCTCCTCTTTAACCTAACAAGTCCCACTCCAAAACGAACACGAACAAAAAACCCACAAAAAACTTTAATCCTTACATCAGTTCTACTGGGTAAGTATTGTTATTTATCTACATTTTTCTTTGTTTTTATTTATTTATTTTTATCTACATTTTTCAAATGAGAAAACTGAAGTATAGGGAGAATAAGTCACCTAGCCAATTGAAAACAGTACAACGGTGATTCCATTTCAGGCTGGTTAGTTCCAGGCATTATGAACATCATGTAAAATTTCAGAATATAACTCTCTTTAATAGCAGATAGATCAGCTCCATTTTACTCAGTCAAAAGTGAACTAAATAGACAATCAGGCTACGTGGGCAGCTCTAAATGCCATAGTTGAACCATTAACTTTTGTTATGATAAAATAGTATATAATGCATACAATAAAAGCAATAATTTAGGCCAGTAATCCCAGCACTTTGGGAAGATGAGGCAGGCAGATGGCTTGAGCGCAGGAGTTCAAGACCACCCTGGGCAACATGGAGGAACCCTGTCTCTACAAAAGATACAAAAATTTGCCGGGCATGGTGGCATGCGCCTGTAGTCCCAGCTACTCAGGAGGCTTAGGTGGGAGGATTGATTAAGCCCAGGAGGTCAAGGCTGCAGTGCACCGTGATCATGATACTGCATTCCAGCCTGGGTGACAAAGTGAGACCTGTCTCAAAAAAAGAAATAAATAAATAAAAATAAAAATAACTTGCTGAAACTACATTCTCAGAGAAGCAATTCTTTCTCTTTAAAAACATTAATTTAGGATTTGTTTCTGCATGTCAATTAACAGATAATGCTAGCAACCTAATATATCCAAGTGTTATATATTTTGAGAAACACACAAACACATATCATAGCATTGTAAAATAAGCACTTCTAGTAACATAACATAAATATCAGCACCTATGTAGGGATTTTATCACTGATTTAGATTTTCTTGGTATTATTTCAATTTATCCAAGAATGTTAAATCTCATGCCTAACACATTACATCAGATGATAATACTCAAACTTTGCCTGCCCCAAAACGTATACAAAAATTCCACCCCAGTAACGGAAAAATCTTGAACAGTTGGCATTCATTTACATATATAACAAGTTCTCTAAAAGATAGACTACAGAGTTTCAAAGTCATACAGTTCTTAACAAATAAAAATCCTGCTTATATGAATGCAAAGTACTCAATTTGTTTAATGGAGAGAAAATAATCTTTCAAAAATGTCATAAACATACACCATTAAGCTTATAATTTTAATTGTAAATCGACTGTGGAATCTAAACTTTCCCCTGAAACACGAATCTGCTTATCAATCTCACTGGCTTTTTTTTCCCCTCCTAATGGTTAATGGTTCCCTCATCACATAAAAGATAAGACCTCATACTGTGGCTACTTCATTCCTTCAACTAACTTCTCCTATGAGGTCCCAGAATTCCATCAAGGGCTATGGAGGATTACCTCACCATTCTCCAAATCTAGAACATTTTCCTAGGATTTGTGCATTTACAATGCTGATTCCCTACCCTCCCCCACCTAGTTAACTACAAATCACCCTTCAGAACCCAGAGCTCACTTATCACCTCCTTGAAGCCAACTCATTAACTCCCTGAAACAAAGTTACTCTACTCTAGGATGTTTCTACAGTATGACAAAAATTTAACTTGAGGAATTACGCAGTGCAACTATAATAGTGCACAGCACAAAGTAACATTTATTGGACTGTACAAGAAAATCTAATTAAATATGAAACTTATTACTAATTTCTAAGAAAAGTATAGGTTTTATTATTCTACATAAACACATGAATTAAGGAAAGTTTTCAGTTTGCTTTCCTATGTCATTTTCCAGTACTCCAGACAGACCACCCCTCAACCCCTGCAATTCATCTGATGTAGAAAACAATTTCAAGGCACCTTAATAAAAAATAATCCCTCCTTCCTATTGCTCTTTGTAAAACCTATTACAGATTACTGGGTCCACCACAATATTTTCTGAAGTGAAAGACACAGATCATTATGCTTTAATCACCTCTTCTCCCCTTTAGAGCTTACCCCCATTTATGCAGAAAGCACTAAGTAATTGTTTATGAAATTTCTTATCTTCAAACATACAAAACTTGACCCTATCTCAGGGCCTTCTATTACTTCTGCCTGGAAAACCATTCAACCACATTTCTGCATGGCTTACTCCTTTCTGCTCAACTGATACCTCCACAGAAGTCTTCTCTCATCACCCTACTTAATCTTTTTTCCATTTCTAATCAATTGCTGTACCTTTATCCCCCTTTATTTTTTCCTAAGTTACCATTACCTGAAATTATGTTTATTTATTTGTTTACTGTCTGTCTCCTCCTCCAGAATGTTACATTAATGAAGGTGGAGACTTGTCTGGATCACCGTCATATATCCAATAACAATGTCAAGCAGAGACTAAACACTCATATTACTAAAGGATTTACTTGAAAACATCTAGAGTGCTAACATATAACCAGCAGAGCCTCAACTTTAAATTTAATAAACAATTTCTATCCAAATACTACTAAAAAGCAGCTAAATTATATGAATTTTGCATGTGCAGGGAATAGAAAAAGAACTTTTAAAATACACAGAATTTTACTGTTGGAAGTGACTTTGGTGATCGAGCACAGGGATTTTCAAACTATGCTCTGAAACATCTTAGTGTTTCACTTATTTGTGCTTCACAAATTCATTTAAGCATTGGATTACAATTTTTTTACACACATCCATCCATTTTAGGATGAGTCATATACACACACAAGTGCATTGTATACCAAACTTAAACACTTTAAAGACTATCTCAGATGTCAGGTTAACCGGTTTGCTGTAGCAAATAGTTTGGCCTGACATAAATATACCTAGAATTTCTCATAAGCAAGCATAGATTAGAAAGATTATGGCTCCAATTTTTTTTCTAATTTCAGGCCAGACATGTTCATTCCCATAAAAACTACACCCCTAAAGCATTACTTTGTGCAGTAATCTGTTCGGCATATGATTACCTCAGAATAATGGTGCAATAATATGTAAAGTGTAGCATCAATGATATGTTATTACCTATTCTCATTATAACACAGTATTTGCTTTTAAGTTTTTAACGTTTCTCAGTGAATGTTTCTAATTTTTAAAAATATGAGCAGCTGTTGGATATTGTCAGAAAAGTCAAGCTTGAAACAAAAATTTCCTACTGCTGCTTGTCTTTCAAACTTCTGCATCAATTTGATTAAATATCCAGGATCTGCAAGATGATCAGATGCAAACAAAAACAAGTCTTCCATTAACATCTATTTGATTTAATAAATCACGATTTTCTCTATAAAGTAGCGCTAAAATAAATGAGAAAGAAATTAGACTCTGAGTCCAGTCTGAAGATGAAAACGGCCTTCATAATTCCCAACTTCTAATTTTCTTATTGACCAAAATAGCTTGTTTATAAACATAAATGCTAAGTTTTAAACTTATTTTAATATATATAAAATTAAGATAATGTATATAAAAGTCCTCTCTGCAAGCTGTAAAACATTTTAAAAATATTAAGTAGCAAAGCCAAAAGTAGTCAGGTGCTTGGAATGGCATAGTAAACTTAATATTTTATTTTACTGACCTATGAAAGATTCTTACAAGCAGAAAACTAAATACAAAATTTGTATGCAGGATAGGCATTATAATTTACAATGTAGAAAGTAATACAAAAGCACATTCTTGCCAGATATGACACAAAACCAAATGCTCCTCTCTCAAACACATTGTATTACATAATCAGTCATTACATTTTGTCCAGATGCTAATACAAACTGGAGCTGTTTCAACATCTGAATACACAAATGGAAAAATAGTATATCAATATGTTTGAAAAACAAGCAAGTCTACTCACTGTTACCTAAATTGCCAGGATACATAATTTTCCCTCACTCATTTTATCATTAGTTTTTACTAAGTTTTAGTAAAAACTTACTAAATGTGCATTTTCATCTACTCACGTATAAGGAAAGACATTTCCATTCAGAAAAGGCAGAGAAAGGACTGGTGTCCTGAGTACTGGATCATACTCCCTTTTTAAAAATATACACTCTGTATCTTTGGCAGCTCTTAGTCACTAAAAGGTCTCTGGAACATATACAGGCAATTAAGACATAATATTCCTAAAATCATTATCAATATTAGCATATCTACTAAAATGCAATTCTGAGAGTCATCTATCCTGTTTTGATTTCTACATCTCTAAAATGGGCAGAAAATTGGCTCACAATCTCTTAAACAAACCTATAAAGGCCAGATGTTTCTCAAAACACAGTTTCAGATTTGAGAAAGGTAAAATGTTGTATGTATCATATATGATGTAACATCTGCCAATGGCAACACCTGCAGTCAAACACGTGAACATTTCCATATGAAAATGTAGGAAAATCAGATTAAGAAAGATAATAATAATCAAATTCACAGGTATAATTCCAGTTGATATTTTCTCACCTTGCTTATTCAAAACAAAACAAAAGAAATGATCAACTTTCAGAGCTTTTTAAATTTTGGACCTCCAATAAGACACATCTCACCTTATTTCCATAAGGGCAATTTTATTCAAACTAGAGAAATCCTGCTTTCTACTAACCAATGGGCCAGGCATTAGGAGGAAAAAGGTGAGAAAAACAGAATCTATCTTCAGAAGCCCCAAATCTAATATGAGCTCATGGGTAAGTACTGGTAAACATGATACCTTGTAAAGACAAATACAAAATATCTCCTTCACATAATAGCCATAACCATACAAAATACAGCGAGAAATGCAAGAAATACAGATCTAAACATCCTGCCAGAAGCAAAACAGGGTATTAATCACTCTATTACTAACATCCTTCCCTAATTCCATACTAACTTTACACACACTTCCCTAAGAAGCTAGTTATCTATTTTTCCATATGTAATTAAGAAGCAAAACTGTAAGAAAGGATTCAAGGAAGTGAAGGAATACAGGAAGCTATTCTCCCCACCACTTTTCCAATCTGTTGCTTCAGATCTGTGGATTGTGAAACAGCACTGTCAAATGACAATCTAGCAACAGTTCAGTTTAATAGATACGTATTGAGAACCTATTAAGTATTATGCACTATAGAGGCATTCAAAACATAAACATAAACAAGTCAAGGCCATACCTCTCAGGTGCTCCCAGTCCAGATGGACAGTAAATTACAATACAGTGTGACATTCTATAATAGAAGTTTGAAGAGTAAAAAGCAATACAGCAAAGGATTTGGGGAGTCAGGAAAGATTTATGAAGAAAGTGATACCAAAGAGGAGTATGGAAGAAGTTCATCAAACAACAGAGAAGTGAAAGATACATAAAATATGCACTACCACCTGCCCCCCACACACATACATGCAATAACATACACATGAATAAAAAGAATAGGACGGGCGTGGTGGCTCATGCCTGTAATCCCAGCACTTTGGGAGGGTGAGGCAGGCGGATCGTCTGAGGTCAGGAGTTTGAGACATGCCTGACCAACATGGTGAAACCCTGTCTCTACTGAAAATACAAAATTAGCTGGGTGCATGCCTGTAATCCCAGCTACTCAGGAGGCTGAGGCAGGAGAACCGCTTGAACCCGGGAGGCGGAGGTGGTAGCGAGCCAAGATCACGCCATTGCACTCCAGCCTCAGCGACGAGCAAAACTTCGTCTCAAAGAAAAAAAAAAAAGAATAAGGAAAAGAAAATGTGCAGGGTTAAGTGGCAAATAGTCCAAAATATCTAACTATATATCTAAGTGGACTTAGATCCTGAGTCTACGCATATACAAAACCCTGAAGTGCCCAGAAAAGGAAAAATTTCCCATTTTTTCCTAAATAATTCACTTTTTTGTATTTCCATATTATATGTCATAAGCTCTTGACAAAAAGCAAACATTGTAAACTGTTTTATTACTTTATAATGCAGCACACCCCCAAGGGATATACCAACAGATACCAACAGATTTGCATCTGTATTTCAGAGAACAAGCTCTCAGAAAACACAGTACAAATTCTATTTCCAGGACATTCCTAATAGTATAGACAAAGAAAATAAATGAACAAACCACATCAGCATGATTAGTCATAAGAGTTGAATTCTAAAATAGAAATCAAAGGATGTCAAACAGAAAAACCAAAGAAATAAAAACCTAACTTTCATTCCACTTCAAGGCAAACTTTCTACAATGACATCAACTTTAGCACAGCTCTTTTCAAAATATCTGATATAAGTCACAGTGAAATTCAATCCCTTTAAGTATCACAGGTAGAAACTGCTCTTAGTAAGGAAGAACAGTCACCTGTATCATCAAGCAGAATAAGTTCTACCATAGCACTAGATCTCTTGATTAACACTGTATGTAATTCCACTCAAACATTACAGTACACCTCATATTAACTCTGCCCCTAAACTGCCCTACCTGGTACCCTGGATATTCTGCCTCTTTGTGTTACAAAATCCACTACAGATCCAGGTAACAAATAACATCATAAATGTTTGGTGGTATATTTTCCTGAAATCTCAGGAAAATAACCTGTCCTCAAATGCCTATTCAAGCAAGCACATGGCATTGTTAGTTTGCCTTCAAATATGTGATCCCAACAGAATGAACTTTCTACAGTTACAAATTTTAACAACAAAAAAAAGCTATTATTTACCACTGCTTTTAAAGAGCAAGAAAATAAATTGTAAGCTAAGTTCTTTTCATTGGTCTATTAATGCTTACTCATTATTTCATATATACATGTGAAGCATACATTTTATTCATATTATCAGAAAATCTTATGAAGTAAGTCTGTCACTAGAAAAGATAAAACTATAACTTATACAGGTTGTAAAAAATTCTGTAATGGTCTTTCAAAATACAGGTACTTTTAACACCAGTATCTACTAAAGGAATACAAATGAGAACTGGGTTAGAATCACTTCTAATAAAATCTATTCATACACCTGAAAATTTTATTTACTTTTGAACAAATAATTTTCAGATTACAATAACTGTAAAGCATCTCTGAAAAATCAAAAAGTGCAACATCCAAAGTTATAAAGCAAAAACAAAGGTAATTAGTTCTTGTAGGGAGGTATATGGGAAGTTGTATCATTCTGAATTTTTTTGTTTTTGTTTTTTGCCCAGCATCAGAAGATAAGCCACAATCTGAGTTTTATCTTCAAGAGCAGGTACTTGGGGATATAAATCACTCATACACAAGCATTTTGCCCTCATTTTTCCACCATGTAAATTAAAGTATTATAGAAATTGAAAAATTGTATAGGCTGTATTTGTTGCTTGGTTAAACAGGCAATTCTCATTCCCTGAGATCAGATTAGGTTACAGATATCTCTACATTGTATACTTAGAAAAAGATTCCTGCCAACAAATGTTTACATTAACTTATTTGTATTGATAAAGCACTAATCAAGATGCAAAAAAAACTTCAGCAGTTTCTCACTTCCTCTCTAAAATACAAAGTATTCACAAAAATTATTACAATTCAAGCTCTCAGAAAATATGAGAGAAAAGTACCTTTTTTACAGTAAGGATCTTACAAAGTCAAGAAATAAGTGAGTAGAGTGGAACATGTTTTGTCTTTAAGTGTATTTTGTATTTTTTTCTTTAGATTTAACATTATAATAGAACTACAAACTAAACAAATTCAACATACAGAGCTTACTAATTATCTTGGTCCATTATAAAACATTTCAATGAACTGGGATGTGAATATAGACACTTAACCATTTCAGCCAACTATGATTCTTAACCCTTTCAATCTGCAATAGTTACCTTACAAAATTGTGAGATTTATTCATTGACGTTTGGAAAGAACTGTTGTCAATTATGCCAAGCATTCCCAAACTCAACATCAACCTTGCATGTAAATGGATACTTTAAAATTTCTATCTCATCCCTCACCCCATACTTTATTCTTTCCATTTATATTGCTTCAAAAGGGAAATCAACAGTCACACTTATGATTCCGAGCTCTAAAAATTCCTAATATTAAGCATGACACTAAATATGTTCAACTTTGAACCTTAAATTCAAGTTGGCCTCCCTCGTGAACTGATTTTAACTGAGTACTTTTTACCATTTCGCCAAGAACTAAGGGTTCAAAGCAGTGTACTTAATTATGAGGAATTGCCCAAACGATTTTAAAAGGAGTGGGATTCTCTGACCAAGACTTTTATGAAAATGAAACAAAATATGTTGCACTCAGTCTTCCGGATGTTGAAAAGTGAAGATGTCTCCAAGGATTCGAAGGAAGTTGATGTTTAGGTTCCCTCTGAGAGGGTGGTACCCTTAATGTAAGACTTTTGTGGTAGTAATACCGTACCTACAGGCCTGGAATAAATATAAGGTCTAAAACCTTGGAAATACTTTGTATAAAAGAAAACTCCAATTCTCTTTTGCTAAGGACCACAGTTACCAAGAGTTATCAGCTTTCACCCGGACAGACAACAGTGCTTCAATGAAGAACTACAAAGGCCTCTTTTAACCCTACTCTTTTCTTCTGTTAAACTTTTAAGCGAGACCTACGACAGCAAAAGGTGGAGAGGCCCCTGCGGAAGTAGAAACCCAGGACTTGCAACTTCACAGACAGAAGCGTCTGTGGTTCCTCCGCCGCCCCAGGATCATCCGGACTCAGTCTACGACACTACGGAAGCTTCACCTTCCTGGTGCGGTGGCAGAGGCGGCATCGCAGTTGCATTCCTTCTCCCTCCACCATGCACAGCCTTCGGTATCCCAGGGCCTGCAGGATCCTGACACCCGTTAGCCAGTCCAGTGTCTCCCATCTGACACTTGCAAACACACTAACAGAAATACACATAACTGGCAGATGATATACGTGTATTGAGAGAAGGTAAGAAGCCACAGACAGCACCAGCTGCCGGGAAGGCGGCAGAGCCGTCTAAAGCGGGCTCGAGCTCGTCGGCCACGGCCACGGCCGCTGCCGCCTTCTCTTCTCCCCCAGGAAGCAGCGCGGCGGCAGCGGCTCCTCCGCGCTGGCGGGAGCCTAGGGGAGTGGAGTCTGGGGAAGCCCCACCACTCGCGGATGGGACCGGGCCTAGGATCTGGAGCTGCTGCTGCTGCAGCGGCCCGAGTACAGCGACGCTTTACGTCCGGTCCACCACCACCCCCATACACACCCCCTCCCTCCCTCCACCGCCGCCACCCCCCTCCCCGCCCGCTCCGCTCTCCGTCTCTCGATTGGAGCCGAGACAAAAGCAACGGGAAGCGGTGGGCCGGGACGCTACCGGCGGACCCTGGGCGCGACCGGACCGGCCCCGGGGCATTCCCCCGCCTTGCGGGGGCCCCGAATCTGCCGCCCCCGCCGCGCGCCCCGCTGCCAGACTTCCGAAAATTTACCAAAAACTCACCGCATGAATTTTCTTGTCCCGCGGATCCAAGATGGCGACGTATCCACCGCGGAGGCTGCTGGGAGCAAGACCTTTACCCTCTGACCGCCGCCGTGACCCCCGTCGCTCCGGCTTCCCTCCAGGCGGCAGCGGAAGGTGGGAGCGACGACTGCAAAACGGCAGCGATGGGGTGGGTAGGCAGGCCGCTTTCAGCGCGCTTCTAACAAGGTGGAGAGAGGCGCTTCACTTCCCTACCGCCCTTACCGCCGCTCCGTCTTGTCTCCCACCGACTCACAGGGAGGCTTGCTGCTCCTCCGCGGCCGTTACAGAGAGCGGGGCTTCTGCGGCCGCTACCGTTTCCCTGGGGCTAGGTTGCTTCGCAGAAGGCTCTGGCCCTGAGTCCGAGGGGGACTGCGGGGTCCAGGGGCGATGAATGGTGAGGTGGCTTCAGTCCGCCCTCCCCGGGGACGCTGAGCGTGTTCGTGTTCGTGTTTGTGTTTGTGTTTGTGTTGGACACCCCCGCCCCCGCACGTCCGCCTCGTCACTCCTCCCCTCCTCACTCCCGCCACCTGGAGCGAATCTGATCGTGTCCCTGTTTCCTCCCTCAGCTCCCGCAACCTCCGGAGCTTGTGCGCGTACTTCAGGGACCGGCACCACGTCACCGTCACCTCCTGAGTAGTGAGTTCCCCTCTGATGAAACCACTGGTGTGTTTACTCACCATCCCCACCATTTTTTTTTCCCCAACCTGATGGAAGGAAGTACATAATGGAGAGCAAGTTTTTAAAGCACGGTCGTGTCGTGTGAACTTGCTCTAGCCAAATTAGGTTTATAGCACTTTTTTTGGCTCTCATTACCTCCAGTCCCCACATAAACAAGAGTGACCAGCTGGGTCATCCGCAAGACCGTTTGAAATTATTGTGGCTTGGGTGGAAACTTAAAGGAGTGAAGTATCTGCTTTCCAGAAAAATCGTTGTCATTCAAAGTGAAATTAAACTTGTTTTCTTTGCAATAATTCGCCTTTATTTCCTTGTATATCTGTAAACTCTTCACTTTTTTGTAATTACTAGACAATTCGGACTTAAAAAGAGCCTCAGCATGTGTATTTTGGAATTGTGTAGCTTCATAATGTGAAAATTATTCTTTTCTATTTGAGTAAAGTACAGTTAATTTGAAGTAAATAAAATTTCTATTTCCATTGGTTGTTTCTTTTAAAAAGTCACCTTTTACTTACAAAAGAATCACTGTAATCCAGTTTACATTTATCATTGAAGGTCAAAAGCAAGAAATAGGAAGAAACACAAGCATACTATAAAATAAAAGGTAACTGTCATGTTTTTGAAGGTAAGGTGTTTTGACATATCAGCAGACATTGTGTGAATTTATTTCAACTCCTAGTGGTACTGGTGTAGGTAGAAAATGTTTTGCTTGGTTATTCATTTCATCAAACACTCTACTTCACTGTTTTTTTTTCACTTCAGGAAAATTCGAGGAGGAACAACACATACTAGTGTCTTTCCTTTCTTTCTCCCCGTCTTCTGCAAATAGTCCCTTCCTCTTCCTGCTTTCTCCTCCTTCTCATGTTAACATCTTCAACCATAAGATGGTGTGTTAAAAGATTGAATATACCTCTATGGAATGACTTCCAGAGGGTGTAAGTCTGATATGAGAGTTTTATTACCTTGAGTATTTTACTGGAAGAGATAGAACAACAAACATTTTCATAATAAATGTGTGGGTTAGGAGTGTTAGGAGAAAATACACTGATACTATTACTTTCAATATTTGATACTACTTACTTTGACTCTCACTGAACACCTATTTGTTTAGGATGAATTCACTTTAAGCCGGGTTGAAGAACAAGCCTTTAATTGTCCTATTATTTGTGCCAAATCTATTATAAATTTGTTAAAAAATTTTTAATACCTACCTTAGAGGGTACTCTAGGTATTTAATGAGCTAGCATTTGTTAAAGGCTTGTATAGTAAGAATTCTTATAGTAAGAGTTCTTACCAATAGATGGTATATTTTTTAAATTGTCCTGTTGCATCAAAAAGTTCATCTTTATTGGTAATGTTGATTAAGTTTGCCCATTTGGTAGTTTGGTTTCTTTTAACTATCTTACTAGATTTTCTTACTTTTACCTGAAAAGTAGTCCTTACTAATAGGCACATGTTTTGTATATTTCCAAAATATGTATTATGTTAAATTCTCTGTACACTTTATTTAAAAATTACAGACGTTGAGGGAAAAAAAATACCCTATTAAGGGAAGAATGAGTTTGTGTATAACTTGTAGAAGAAGGAGGCCACCCATTTTTAGAAAAATATGGATGGTATTGAAAATTTTGCCATGGCAAGGGATAAAAAGGACAGGCTTCTCTAATGTGTCTGAAACAACATTTGAATCCCCTTTGTTCATTCCCTAAATCTGCTGCTCCTTTAGAATTCCTGATTTTCATAAATAGTACCACCATTCACTTATTTGCTCAGGCATAAAACTTGGAATTTTCTGATTCTTCACACTCATACAACTCATCAGACAGTACCATCAGTTCTTCCTGACAAATACATTCTGAATTTAGCTACTTATCACTTCCACTGGTACAACCCTTGGGAGCCACCATCATCTGTTGCTGGACCACAGCAATAACCACACTAGTTGCTATCACTTTCTATCTGTACCCTCATGAATATTTTCCCATTTAAACCATTCTCTATATACCAACCAAAGCAATCACTTAAAAAATGTTATTAGGTTATGTCACTCCCTTGTTTAAAACCCTCCAATAGCTTCCTTATGCACACAGAATGAAATCGGAATTCCTTACCATAGCCTTCAAGACTGCATAATCTGGCTCCTGCCCACTTCTCCATCTTCCCAGGAAGCAGCACAGGAAGTTGTTCTCACCCTTCTTACTGCCTCCTTTCTGTCGTGGGCTGTGCTTTTTCTAGTCTGTAGCAGAGTCTGTTAGTTGTCCCCAAAAATTCCTCCATTTTTTTCATAGTAATAGACATGGATACATGGCTACCCAGAACAAAGACTATATTTTGCAGCCTTCCTTGTAGCCATGTAATAGTGCTGGCTGATGGGATGTAAGCAGTATATCATGTGGCACACTTGTAAAACCATCCTTAAAAGATAGTTGGTGCACACCTTCAATGCGGCTTTTCCTTTATCCTGTACCGTGGAATATAGATGTGATGGCTTAGAACTGTAGCTGCCAATTTGTGCCTCATGCAAGTTCTCTCATTCTAGGGATGGCAAAACTAAACTGGTGGAAACCAGGGTCTGTGAGAACTTTATGGATCAGAGCACCATGCTAGCCCTGCAGTCGTAAATGTCTATATTATTAAAGCCACTATTTTGGAGTCTCTTGTTCTCAACTGAATTTAATCTTACCTGATACTCTGTCTCAGGGCCTTTGCACTTGCTTTTTATTTTTTATTTATTTATTTTTTTTCTGCCTGGGATGTGGTCTTCTGTCTTGGATATGGCTGACTCATTCTCTTCCTTCAGGTTAACCCAAATATCTCTGACAGGCCTTCCCTGGCCACCGTATCTAAAATAGCTCACGTTCCCATTTATTCTCTGTCAATCACGTGCCCCTCTATTTTCTTAATAGCATTTATAATTTATCATTATCTTGTTTATTCACTGTTTATTTTCTACCTCCCTTCACCCTACAAAAATATAAACTACACCTGTTTTTTTCCACTACTTTATCCTTCACACATGGTAGGCATTAGATAAATGCTGTTAAATTAGTGAGTGAATGAATCAACAAAATTCTTATCCAAGATTAGCTAGACTTTTTAAATAATAAATGAGTAAATGTCAACAGATATCCTTAACACAAAATTTGTAAAATCCAATCTAGGAAACAGGAAAAACAGTACTAAACTAATAGGATATTCCTGACCTCCAACTTAATAAAGAAGATGTCTACCTTTTTCTGGGAAATCTGTAAGGCTAGTACAAGTTAAAAAAAAAAAGACTGCACTGCAGTATATCCAGGGCTAAAATTCACACTAAAAGGGGTCTGAATTATAATTTACTAGACCTCAGTTTCTTCATCTTAAATATGTGTAAGCTTTGAATGGTAATACTATAACAGTTAAAAGTTTAATAGTAAGCCCAACTTATGAGTGACAAAACATGTTAAACATTAATTTAGTCTTCAGGCACTATTTTAACAAGTGGTTATTTCTTGATAATACTGGCAAGGATTCAGAGAAACAGGGCTGCTTATATTGCTGAGAGTGTATGTTGGCAGCACTTTTCTAGAGTGCAGTTTGGCAATATGTATCAAAAGCCTTGAGCCATGTGCATTTGACCCAGCGATTCTTTTAGAAATGTGTCATAAGCAGGCTGGGTGCAGTGGCTCATGCCTGTAATCCCAGCACTTTGGGAGGCCAAGGCGGGTGGATCACCTGAGGCCAGGAGTTTGAGACCAGCCTGGCCAACATGGTGAAACCCCGTCTCTACTAAATACAAACAAATTAGCTAGGTGTGGTGGTGCACGCCTGTAGTCCCAGCTACTTGGAGGCTGAGGCAGGAGAATCGCTTGAACCCGGAAGGCGGAGGTTGCGGTGAGCTGAGATCATGCCACTGCACTCCAGCTTGGGTGACAGAGCAAGACTCTGTCCAAAAGAAAAGGCCAGGCACGGTGGCTCAGAGAGCCACCTGTAATGCCAGCACTTTGGGAGTCTGAGGTGGGGTTGGATCACCTGAGGGCACAAGTTGAAGACCAGCCTGGCCAACATGGTGAGACCCCATCTCTACTAAAAATACAAAAATTAGCTGGGCATGCTGGCGGGTGCCTGTAGTTTCAGCTATTGGGAAGGCTGAGATGGGAGAATCACTTGAGCCCAGGAGGCAGAGGTTGTAGTGAGCCGAGATTGTGCCACTGCATTCCAGCCTAGGTGACAGAGCGAGACTCCGTCTCAAAAAAAAAAAAAAAAAAGAGAAATGTATTATAAGCAAATAAGGGTGTGTTTAACAAGTTAATTGCAAGAGTATTCTTTACTGCATCATTTATTAGGAGATTGGTTAAGCAACATCCATACAGTGAACAGTATTCAGCCATTTGAAATGATGTGGAGGAAATTTTATTGACATGATACATTGTTAAGAGCAAAAGAAAAAGTTTTAAAATACAAATGTTTAATTTGTAAGTCTCACAAACATCATCTAACGAAATATACACGAGGTGTTAAGTCAGCCTTGCAAACGTAACTATTTTTTCATTATTTTTATATCAGTTACTGTTATTGGAGCATTTTATATTGACTGAGGATCTTTATTAAAACTTCTTCAGCCTTCTGTGAAATCTTGTTATGATGGCTATAGTGACACTATATAAAACACATAACCAGAATATGTTTATGCTCAAATATTTCAAGCAATATTTGATGCTTAAAATACCAAAGTGACAATGAAAATGAAAGAAATTTGGATAGTTCCTTAGAGTTATTTGTTTGTGTTTCAGATATGAACATAAAGTATGTTTTTAATATTACCAGTTTTGAGAATAATAGAATAAATGCCTTCTCACCTTAATAAGATGTTCTGTTCTGACTCAGTATTCATTTGCCATTTATTTTTCAAATGTAGCTGAAATCTCAGTCATGTTCCAGGCACTATGTTTTGTCTCTGAGAGAGGAAAAACCAAACTTTTTCCCTGTTCTCAAATACTACTCAATACAATACTTCTGCAACAAGATGGGGTGGGATAGCGGTCCCCCCTCACCCCCGCCCACATCAAACCATCAATTTTCTAGCAGACATCAGCTGGGTGTCTCAATTCTATTCAGTTCTGACACTATCTACCTGGAGGCAGCATCAGATCGAACAGATTGAGGGCTCGGTTCTGCAAGACTGCCCCCACCACTTCCAGTACCAGCCACAAGTAGTAGGTTGTCACCGATACTCCTGACCAAGCTGTAAATCAGGATTCCCATGATCCCTTCCTCAGGTTCAATTAGTTCACTAGAGTGGCTCACAGAAGTCGGAGAAACACTTTACTAGCATTTACCCATTTATTATAAAGGATATTACAAAGCATACAGGTGAACAGCTGGATGGAAGAGGAATCTGCACACCTTTTCTCCCATACCTTGCCCTATGTATAGGTAGGGAGAAGAGGTGTGGCAATTCCATGCCTTCTCCAGGCAGGCCAGCTTCCAGGAACCTCCTAGTGTTCAGCTATCAGGAAGCTCTCTGAACCCTGCCTGTCCTTTTGGGCTTTTATGGATACTTCATTATGTAGGCATGATTGATTACATTATTGGTCACTGGTGAGCAAATAACCTTTAACCCCCTCTCCCCTCCCTGGAGGTGAGGAGCCAGGTTAAAGTTCCAACTCCCTAATCACATGGTTGGCTTCCCTGGCAACCAGCTCCCATCCTGAGGCTACCCAGGAGCCCATCAAGAGTTACCTCATTAGAACAAAAGATTCTCCTATCGTCCAGGAAATTCCAAGGGGCTTAGGAGCTCTGTCAGGAACCAAGGGTCAAAGACTGAATAGAATAAGATTCTCCTAGTGCCCTTTATCTAGAAGTTTTAGGACCTCTGGGCTAGGAAACAGAGACGAAAACTAAAACGTGCATACAGAAGATAGATCTATATATATAATATTATAAATCACATCACCTTGTCATTTAGTTCTCAAGAAAACTATGTGATGTCAGAATAATAGTATAATTTTTTCCATTTTCTTGTATGCTACATGTATGTAGCAGATATCATTTAAATTGGTGAACCACATTTCCCCCCCTTTAAATATCCTTGTCCATATATTGAATCTCTCTAATACTCATCACCTTTGGAATTGATCATGGCAGTATTAAAGGCACTTCTATTCTGAACTGAACATTAAAGATGCTATTACCCCTCCAGTGCTTTTGTGGGTCACTATCATCTATAAAAAATATCCTAAAAGGAGAAGCCAAATAAATGAGGTAATCAGTGGAAAGAATATAAGATCCTTGGAATCTAAAAAATGGCTGTAACCAATCAGCATAATAAAACCTCTAACAATAGAAAAATAGTTAACCACTTAGTTTAGCATCTGCTAAATGGCAAGCACCATAATTACATGATTTCACTCAATCTGTGTAACATTTCTGTGTGATAGGTGGTATTTGCATTTTACAGATGAGGAAATGGAGGCTTTAAGAGAGGTTGCTAGATATATCTAGAAAACCCCATTGTCTCAGCCCAAAATCTCCTTAAGCTGATAGGCAACTTGCGCAAAGTCTCAGGATACAAGATCAATGTGCAAAAATCACAAGCATTCTTATACACCAATAACAGAGAGCCAAATCATGAGTGAACTCCCATTCACAATTGCTTCAAAGAGAATAAAATACCTAGGAATCCAACTTACAAGGGATGTGAAGGACCTCTTCAAGGAGAACTACAAACCACTGCTCAATGAAATAAAAGAGGATACAAACAAATGGAAGAACATTCCATGCTCATACGTAGGAAGAATCAATATCGTGAAAATGGCCATACTGCCCAAGGTAACTTATAGATTCAGTGCCATCCCCATCAAGCTACCAATGACTTTCTTCACAGAATTGGAAAAAACTACTTTAAAGTTCATATGGAACCAAAAAAAGAGCCCACATCGCCAAGTCAATCCTAAGCCAAAAGAACAAAGCTGGAGGCATCAAGCTACCTGACTTCAAACTATGCTACAAGGCTACAGTAACCAAAACAGCATGGTACTGGTACCAAAACAGAGATGTAGACCAATGGAACAGAACAGAGCCCTCAGAAATAATGCTGCATATCTACAACCATCTGATCTTTGACAAACCTGACAAAAACAAGCAATGGGGAAAGGATTCCCTATTTAATAAATGGTGCTGGGAAAACTGGCTAGCCATATGTTGAAAGCTGAAACTGGATCACTTCCTTACACCTTATACAAAAATTAATTCAAGATAGATTAAAGACTTAAACGTTAGACCTAAAACCATAAAAACCCTAGAAGAAAACCGAGGCAATACTATTCAGGACATAGGCATGGGCAAGGACTTCATGTCTAAAACACCAAAAGCAATGGCAACAAAAGCCAAAATTGACAAATGGGATCTAATTAAAGAGCTTCTGCACAGCAAAAGAAACTACCATCAGAGTGAAAAGGCAACCGACAGAATAGGAGAAAATCTACTGCAATCTACTCATCTGACAAAGGGCTACAATGAACTACAATGTAGATCCAGAATCTACAATGAACTCAAACAAATTTACAAGAAAAAAACAACCCCATCAAAAAGTGGGCAAAGGATATGAACAGACACTTCTCAAAAGAAGACATTTATGCAGCCAAAAGACACGTGAAAAAATGCTTATCATCACTGGCCATCAGAGAAATGCAAATCAAAACCACAATGAGATACCATCTCATACCAGTTAGAATGGTGATCATTAAAAAGTCAGGAAACAACAGGTGCTGGAGAGGATGTGGAGAAATAGGAACACTTTTACACTGTTGGTGGGACTGTAAACTAGTTCAACCATTGTGGAAGTCAGTGTGGCGATTCCTCAGGGATCTAGAACTAGAAATACCATTTGAGCCAGCCATCCCATTACTGGGTATATACCCAAAGTATTATAAATCATGCTGCTGTAAAGACACATGCACACGTATGTTTATTGCGGTACTATTCACGATAGCAAAGACTTGGAACCAACCCAAATGTCCAACCATGATAGACTGGATTAAGAAAATGTGGCACATATACACCATGGAATACTATGTAGCCATAAAAAAGGATGAGTTCATGTCCTTTGTAGGGATATGGATGAAACTGGAAGCCATCATTCTCAGCAAACTATCGCAAGGACAAAAATCCAGACACTGCATGTTCTCACTCATAGGTGGGAATTGAACAATGAGAACACATGGACACAGGAAGGGTAACATCACACTCTGGGGACTGTTGTGGGGTGGGGGGAGGGGGGAGGGATAGCATTAGGAGATATACCTAATGTTACATGATGAGTTAATGGGTGCAGCACACCAACATGGCACATGTATACATATGTAACTAACCTGCACGTTGTGCACATGTACCCTAAGACTTAAAGTATAATTTAAAAAAAAACGAGGCTGCTTTAGATTACAAAGATTATAAAGAGAGAGGATTGGAATTCAGGTTTTGTAACTACAGAACCTATTCTTTCTTTTTTAAATGTATGTAATTTTTAAAATGTTGTGTGTAATATTTTTGTATATCCGTTTTCTTGGGAGAGGATCCATAGATGTCACAAGATTCTCGAAGGGGTCCTTACTGAAAAAAAAAATGTCTAAGAACCACTAAAACTCCCTACTATGAATTTAGTGCACTTAATAATGGGGAAGAAAGTAACTCTGACATAGTTTGGCCACAGAATATATTTTTTAATTGTTACTAATCAATCAAATGAATAAATATGGAGAACCTAGGTAGATGCTTAAAATTCTGATTCAACTAACTATTGAATTGCTATTATGCACTGGCCTCACAGATTATACACTACTGTTTCTCAGTCTTGAGTACTATAGGAGCACCTTTTATGAATTTTTGTGGATACCCAGTGTGATAAACTATTTTTCTTATAAAGTTACCCTAATATGTACAAATAGAAAACTAGGAGTAAACTTAGGTTTTTAGCTCTATTTTAACTATTAAACTAGAAAAAAATTAGGAATGAAATAAAACTAAAATATTTTAAGTTAACATTAATGTGTAAGTTTTTTGTTAAGCCTAAATCATCACTGGAAATAGAGCACAGATTTATTTGAATTTGAGATACCTATGTTGCTATGTGATAACTCAATTTTCCTAACAGTTTTCTCTTACGATTTTTTTGAAACCTTTATACCAGAAGCAAGCAATTACAGTATTTGACCTTTACCTGGCATAAATGGATCATTAATTAACTTACTCTTTACTGTAGTCCAGGGCAATTTTAAGTTAGATAGTCTGGCTCCAACTCCATTATAAGCAAACAAAAACATGGGCACTCAAGTCGAAGTATTTATTTATATAATGGTGTTTTTTTAATCCAAAACAGAGTTATGTTAACTTTTAGATTACCTTTGAAATAAAGCTACAAAACTAAAGATTTTTTGTGAGAACTCACAAATACTAAAGAATATGTTAGTGGGCCACTAGGGATTTAAGAAGCAAGATTATGAGCGTAAGGGTTTTGAATAGCTAAGATCTGCAATTTTATCTAACCGAAACACATGCAAGCTTCAGTGCCCTTTGAAAAAAATGCAGTATTTTAAAAATTACTTCTACAAACCTCAGTTTTGCTGCCTAAAATTCGAGCATAAAAATATGACTATGCCTTTCAGGATTGTCATAAAAATTTTATCGGATGGGCCAGGCGCGGTGGCTCACGCCTGTAATCTCAGCACTTTGGGAGGTCGGGGCGAGCAGATCACGAGGTCAGGAGATCGAGACCATCCTGGCTAATACGGTGAAACCCCATCTCTACTAAAAATACAAAAAACTTAGCCCGGCGTGGTGGTGGGCGCCTGTAGTCCCAGCTACTCGAGGCTAAGGCAGGAGAATGGCATGAACCCGGGAGGTGGAGCTTGCGGTGAGCCGA
Source organism: Homo sapiens (assembly GCF_000001405.40). Lineage (NCBI taxonomy): Eukaryota > Metazoa > Chordata > Mammalia > Primates > Hominidae > Homo > Homo sapiens. The sequence goes on along the minus strand of NC_000012.12, from coordinate 70,232,886 downwards.
GATTGCGCCACTGCACTCCAGCATGGATGACAGAGCGAGACTCCATCTCAAAAAAAAAAAAAAATTTCATCAGACGACATATGCAAATGCTTAGTATAGTGTATGGAATGAACCAACCACTCAAATAGTTGCGATGATGATGATAATAGTTTTATGTGGAAAACCACACGTAATCTAAGAATTTTTAATAAAATTACTAATGAGGCACCTGAAAAGGAAAATGCAAGAAAATAATAGACTATATAGACAGCCATGTAAAAAAACAACAACAGAAATATAAATGTGCTAGCTAGTTGAGTTAAATATTTTCTGTTGAGAACTAAAATCAGGTAAGGTGGGGACGTAAAACATATCCCTAAATGATTACATTTTATAGCGTCAACTAGTGATCATGTTTTATTTTCCTGCCATAAAAATATGTTTTTAAGTCACTTTAAAAAATAAACATGTTAACTAATCTTGAGTTTATGTAATGGCATCCCTTTCACAATTACTAAGAGGGTTTTAAAAGACGCACCACTTTTTAAAGACATTGTTTAGAAGAAGATAGTTACCAGATATTTACAACAGTTCTTAAACAACCTTACATTTTTAATATGATGTCCAACTCTGAAGTAGTTAGAATTGATAGTGTTAATTAAGATTTTTAAAAACACTGCCTAATGTAGAGGTAAACACCATATTTTATAAAACACTTATTGTACTTCCTCAGTAAGAGTAAGATTAGTTTCCATTAGATTCTAGATTATAAAAGTTGCTACAGCTGCCATAACTTTGGTGAAGGTGATTCTGGAGGAATATTATCCCAAAACCTCTTCTTTTCCTTCTAATGAAGCAGCCTGCAATTAGGAAACAACTCTTCATAAGCATAACCCATATAAGCGAGCATGTAATAGTTAAATGGCAAAATCCAGAGAAACAGCCAATTGATCTTTTACAAACTCAGCAGCTGCCACTGAAGAAACAGGTGATAATGTAGCACAAAAAGATACCGTAAAACACAGGACTTCTAAATACTTAGTAAGGAAGACCTTTTTGAAAGCCTTATCCTGAAAACATCTCTTCTTGCTAAAAGCTAGGGAATCTTAGAATCTTATTAAAAACAACACCACTTACAATAGAGCAGAGGGAAGAGAAAATCTGTTTTGAATGAACCAACAACAACAGACATATTTATTATACTTTTTTTTAATTTATAAGAAAAAAAGATTTAATTGGATCACAGTTCTGCAGGCTGTACAGGAAGCATGGTACCAGAATCTGCCTGACTTCTAATGAGGGCTTCAGGAAGCTTACAATCATGGTGGAAGGTGAAGGGTGAGCAGGCATCTCAACATGGTGGAGTGGGAGCAAAAGAGAGCTATTACACTTCTTTAATTAAGTTAAAGAATTTACTTGGCTTTGCCTAGTTCCTTATAGAAACAAAAATTACAAAAAGGGAATGAAGGAGGGAGAGAGGAAGGAAAAAGGAAGGAAGAAAAAAAGGAAAAGGGAAAGGAAAAAGGAAAGGAAAAAGTAAAAGGAAAGGAAGGTTCTAAACTAGATTCCTCAGTACACTAGTTCCATAAGATACTGGTAAGTATTCTGTTAAAAAGCAAAGGATTTCATTGTAATGCTCTGAATTAAGAGGTTTCATTATTGCCAAATTTGTTTGTTACTTTTTTTTCTTCTTCTTTTTTTTTTTTTCCCCGTATGTTTTTGAGACAGGGTCTCACTCTGTCACCCAGGCTAGAGTACAGTGTGGCGCAATCAGAGCTCACTGCAGTCTCCAACTCCTGGGCTCAAGTGATCCACTCACCTCAGCCTTCAGAGCAGATGGGACTAGAGGCATGCATCACCACATCCAGCTAACTTTTAATAATTTTTTTGTAGAGACAAGGTCTCCCTATATTGCCCAGGCTGTTCTCAAACTCCTGGGTTTGAGACTCCTCCCACCTTGGCCTCCCAAAGTACTGAGATTACAGGTGTGAGCCACTGTGCCCAGCCCATTGGTATGTTAAGGTGTTAATATATGTGTACCTAAGTACCTTAGTTCTTTTTTATTGAAGATTTTAATTAATATCTTACAAAACCACAAGCTATCTAACTACATTTGATGGAGATACTGTACTTGAAAGGCTGAATTTTGGGTTCCTGTACATAGGGATTGAGAATTCTCTACCACAGCTTTGTTATAAGAAATTGACACAAGGCCAGGCGTGGCTGCTCACGCCTCTAATCCCAGCACGTAGGGAGGCCTAGGCAGGAGGATCACTTGAGTGCAGGAGTTTGAGACCAGCCTGGGCAATCTAGTGAGACCTCCTCTCTGAAAAAGTTGACACATGATGTGAATTGGGTATCACAGAAGATGTTTTTAACAGGACCAAATAAGATATTTCTCTTACCCTTTTAGGACTGAGGTTTTGCCAATACATTAGGCAAGGACTGGCTAACACTTGATATCATAATACTATAGGTACAACAGAATCTTTCTTTTTTGTTGATGCATTTATAATATAATATTGAGTGGGAGTTTTCCCATTGCCCCGTAATTATGATTATGCCCCAAAACTGAGAATAAAATTATTAAATACTTCACATTCTAAGTTAAAATAACTGAATAATCCCATAGTATTAGCCAAGTAGTGTCACAAGCATACCTATCACCACCACCACTACCTCACCACCACCACTCCTACTCACCCTTCATTAAAAAAATGGTAGGCCTGAGAGAAAATAAGGAGGCCTTTTGGAGAATCAGTTTGTGGACAGGACTGTTCCCAATATATAATTGGAGTCGGGGTTGCATGAAGAGAATTATATCCAAAGATTGGGATTACCAAAATAAGAGGCATATTTCTTTTCTCTGTTGGGTGTTTGCTGGGACAGAGGACTTGCTGAGCTCCTGGAGCTATATGAGTAGAGGAAAGAGAATTTGCAAGAGATGATAGACTAACAGAGGCCAGGACAGCAAGAAAGTGGTCTTCATGCCCATCATTTAGTGTGTCAAGAATAACGGAGATTCCCATGGATGGTATGAACACCAGGGAAAGTAGGTGAGCTTCAGCCATTTTGTCAGTATGCGCGCTGACCTCAGCAAGAGGGAATCTCTGCAGCAAGAGAAATTAAAGTGGTTCAGTAAACTGGATCCAGATGACCAACATCAGGAAACTACATAATGGGAAGCCCCTGCAGGCTCCCTCAAAGAAGCCTCATTATAGATCTAGCTTTTGGATACTGTCACACAGAGGTTATCAAAATCCAGTTAATGAGGACTGCATCCTTACCCAGTCAAGTAAGAAAATAATCGCCCTTTTCTCTGTACTTGGGGTCGGGGGAGAGTAGAGGGGAATAGTGTAAAGAGCTTTGAATTGAGCTGGAGATTGAAGCTTTAAAGTTAACAACATGATTCTTTAATATATTGTGATTGTTCTAATAACTTTAAATAACTGAAAAATCAGAGAATCTATGTAGGATATAATTAAAGGAGTCATCCCTCTTTTTTTCTATTTGATTTTAAAACTTAAGTAAAGCCAGGGCTGGGCGTGGTGGCTCATGCCTGTAATCCCAGCACTTTGGGAGGCCGAGGCGGGCAGATCACCTGAGATCAGAAGTTCGAGACCAGCCTGGCCAACATGGTGAAACCCCGTCTCTACTAAAAAAGTACAAAAATTAGCCTTGTGTGGTGATAGGTGCCTGTAATCTCAGCTACTCAGGAGGCTGAGGCAGGAGAATCGCTTGAACCAGGGAGTTGGAGGTTGCAGTGAGCCGAGATTGCGCCCCTGCACTCCAGGTGACAAGAGCAAGACTCCATCTAAAAAAAAAAAACAAACAAAAAAAACCTTAAGCCAATGCTAAAGTGGTAGTTCAGACTCAGTTGCTCTCTAATCCTACTTTTCTGTTTAAAATCTGGACTGGCTGACAATATCCAGATTGAATGATTTTGCTGCCTATGGGTAACAATATCAGGATTGAATGACATAGCTGCCTGTCTTTGTAATGGGTAGCAAATGCAAAAAGAAGCAGGACTTTTAGTAAACCAGATAGATATTTAATAACATGTATGCTTACATTATATAGTTCATTTCAAAATGTGCTTTCAGTCTTTATCAACTTCTTTGGTGAACTTTATAAAGTTCTGCAATTGAAAACATTCTGGGCAGAATTTTAAAGATATCTACAATTAACAGTTTGAGTGAAGATTCTGGTGTTCAGACAGAGCAGACTAGGTAAGCAACATCCTTTGCAGAATGTTATTCTTAAAAATCTTGCTCCTCTTTGCATTTGCCACCCATTACAAAGACAGACAGCTATGTCATTCAATCCAGATATTGTCACTCAGTCTTATATTTTAAACAGAAAAGTGGGATGAAAGAGCAACTGAGTCTGAACTACTGCTTTACTTTTAGCATTCACCTTGCTGAAGTTTTAAAATTAAACAGAATTTCACAGAATTTTAGATCAGTATCTTCACTTCTAATCAATTAAATGAATATAATTTAACCCCAGAAAAAAACAGAGTAAATCTAAAACTTGTATTTAATATGATTGAAGATTTAATCTTCCAGGTGAATATTGAATTTCATTGATATTTGGTGCAATAACATCTAGCATGTATCTAGTCAAGCCTTTTAACCATCGCAGTCTATATGGTGTGAAGCATGAAGAACTGTTCTTCGTTTGTTTGTTTTATTGGTGAGGGAATAATACAAGTGATTGCTTTCCAACTTCAGATCTGGATACAAACAATTAGATCATTCTTTTATATGAAGGACAACATGGGTCCATGCAAATTCCCAGTGCATTCATGCTGGTATTTACTGTGTACCAGGCACTCATCCAAATACAGGGAAAGTAGAGCAGTAAGGAAGGCAGATAAGGTTCCTGTTTTTATGGAGGAGATAAACAATAAATATTCAATATAATATGCAGTGATTAGAACTATCAAGGAAATAACAGCTAGAGAATGATAAGGGGATGGTGTGCTCTTTTAGATAAAGTCAGTGAAGACATCTCTGAGCAGGTAACAGAAGCAAAAGATCTGCAGGAAATGAGGTTGCATCAAGTGCATGTTGATGTACATATGATTTAGGTGTCAGACTATGAATTTAATATTTCTTAAGGACAGTATTTTTTGTATATTCTGAACAACCCCATCCGAGAAATACAATTAACTTGCCTTTACAAAAAAATAGCATATTGTTATGTACAGTAATATCTTCATAAAATCTGGTTGTTGCTTCTGGTCTTACTCATTTCATTTTGATTCAACAGATCTTTATTGAGTAATTGCTGTACTTCAAGGCTTTATTCTAGGTTTTTGCTATATACCATTGAATAAAATAATGAACCCTGGCTACCTGGAGATTGCATTCTAGCAGGAAAATGCAGACAATAAGCAATAAACATAATAAATTATATACTGTGTTAGAAGGTGATTTGTGCTGTAATGGGGTATGTAGGCCAGAGAAAGGGAGGTACTAATTACTTGGAGAAGAACAGCTTCCATTAGTAAGTATGCTAGCAGAGTGGCCCTCAATTAGGTTAGACCTGAGCAAACAACAGGGACCTGAGGGAGTTAGCCAAGTGCCTGTCTGAGAAAACAGCTCTCCTTGACTCATACATATCTACATACGCTTTTGCCTCCAAGAAAGTTACTATCTTTTTTCCAACTCTTACTATTTTTTTAGCAAAAAAAAAATAGAGTAGCTATGATACACCATCACTGTATATAATTTACTTGAATACGTGATTTTATTTTTTATTTACATAGGTAGCCACTACTATACACACATGCACACATACATATATACATATATGATTTATATATATGACATATATATGATTTTAAATTTTTATCATCTGAAAGTGTGAAGAACTACCTTTTTTTTTTTTTTTTTTTTTTTGAGATGGAGTCTTGCTTCGTCACCCAGTCTGGAGTGCAGTGGCGCGATCTCAGCTCACTGCAACCTCCATCTCCCGGGTTCAAGCGATTCTCCTGCCTCAACCTCCCCCAGTAGCTGGAATTACAGGCGTGCGCCACCATGCTCAGCTAATTTTTTTGTATTTTTAGTAGAGACGGAGTTTCACCTTGTTGGCCAGACTGCTCTTGAGCTCTTGACCTCTAGTGATCCGCCCACCTTAGCCTCCCAAAGTGCTGGGATTACATGCGTGAGCCACCACACCCAGCCAAGAACTACTATTTTTAAAGGCACTGAAAAATAACTTATGATTAGAAAACATATATTTTTATATACTGGCATGTGTAGGTCACACTACAAATATACTTTATGCTTTCCAGTTAAAAGGTAATGGTGTTCTTGAAGATATGTTAGAAATCCAAAATAATAATTTAAGATAAGTTGGAAGACATGGTAGATTACTCACTGCATGCTATAAATTGAGTGCAGAGCTAACAAGTGTGGTATGTTGGTATGTGTAGTTAGAAAAATTGACTTTTATGAGTTTATTCAATAAAATTAGAATACTTTCAATTCTTTTATTTTTGCTTCATTCCATCTGCCTTCCAGATATCACTGACTTTATTACAAAGGTGTTTAAAGTTAACATTATTAATCTACATATACTTGTTATTCTGCAGAGTAAAATCTTCTAATCTTTATGTTTCTAAAAGCATGACTTTTAAAAAAAGTAACCACACAGTTACAACCAGGCATCTAGGTATTGTAACTGTATTTCCTTTCCATTTTCAAATTGTGTTCTGTTTTTATTTTTGAATCAATGTTAAATAACAGGTAACTGTTTGTAACTTTAGATACAATATTTTACTAAAAAGATCATAAATGTTCCATAAGCTTATATACTTTTTGTACTTCTTTTACTAACCTGGAAGTAATAGATTTGATTTGCTTTAAAAAATAACTTTTTTTCTTCATAAAACCCTTCCTTTCAAATCCTGTCTACAGTGTCTCCTTCTGTCTTCTGAATTTACTTTCGTATTACCTATGTGACACTTATTAGTTTGGTGCAAAAGGAATTGCAGTTTTTGCAATTACTTTTTTAATGGCAAAAACCAACCTAATAGTATGTGTTGTCTTGTGTCTGTTTTAGCTTCCAAAAATAGACCATACATTTTCCAAGGACAAAGATCCAATTCTTATCAGTTAGCATAATGATTGTTTCCCAAAGTAATTCTTCCACTATACTTGTAAAACTCAAAGTTATATTTTATCTAGATATCTACCTATCTATATCTAAATATAGATATAGTATAGTATACAAAATTATGCTATACTAAAATTGAAATCTTTTTAAAATTGAAAGGGTTTATTTAGTCTACCTCCTTGAGATAGAGAAAAAAAGGCTTTCCATCATCCCTCCTCTGTCTTTGGTGGTTAAGGTTCTATTACCTGAAAAATTGTGTAGCCAAAGCGCCAATAACCAGCTTGTACGTATAAAAAGTTGATCCTAAGTAGTACTATATAGAAATAAATTTAAACCTAAAATGTTTTTGTTTTATATTGACACCAAAATATTTTGCTTTTATATCTGTACAGTCTGAAAATTCAAAAGAGAAGCAATTTAAAGGACTTCCATTTACTTCTTTCCCCTCTAATCTGCACAAAAGGTTAAATGTAGCAGTGCAGCAGTTCTGGCCATCAAAATATGATTATTGTACTTTAAAAGCAGCCATGAGAACTCTGCTCTTTGATAGACTTCAACTTGCAACAACTAAGGTAACATATTATCTGGTTCTACCCAAAAATACATATCCTCATCCTACTTATCTTAGATCATGTGTAAGATTCAGTTATGTTTAAGCTGTCCTTCGGAAAAACTCACAGGTTAATCTTTAGCACCCACTCTCTACTCACTTTAGGTCCTTATCCCTGATGACTACTTTATTTCTTGCAGGAATAATCCAGTTCCAGAGGAGATTAGGAGTTGGGTGAGAGGATAGACTCTAATCTTAGAGAAATAAGGTATTGTACAAGTTATCAAGGCCTAGCAATCCAACTACTTTGACCAGAATTATTACAGAAAGTTGGAAAAAGATTAACTTGATGCAGAGTTATCTGAGCTGTGGACACTGCGCTTCTTCAGTTTTTCCTAACAAGTTTGAACAGGTCAGTGTTGTCACTTGTTAGGAAAAACTAACCATGATTGAAGTGTCACCTTTGGGCAGAGCTGAAATTTACTTGTTTGATACATGATCTTCTCAAAGTCCAGTGATCGCTACTTTGAAAAGGATACCAAGCAGTTAATCTAATAATATAACCAAACATGGTGCCCTGTGCTACTTACTGCACAGGTTGCATGCCTATGAAGCAGATCCTCTAAATAAGAAGTGCAAGCAAATAATGAAAATCTTAAAAGTCTATTACTTTAACTAACAGAACTTCTAGTTTTGTCTCCTATGAGAACTCTTAAGAGTATGTATGCTTATTAAGGTTTTACTTGGAAAATTATTTGATATCGTAATCATAAAGAGTTATTAGCTGTTTTCTCCTAATGCAAGTTAAAATGTATAGCTATGTTAAAAATTCATATATTAGTCCTAGTTAAACCATATTTTTAATATTTTTCTAAATAACAAAAATTCAGACTCTCTAAGGAGAAAAAATTATCAGTTTTTGGTCTTATTTTCTATGTGAATGGCATCAGGTTGAAGTTATCATAGTTTTAGTAGAACATTATTTTGGCCTCACTAATAAAAAAAAATATGCTTTACTGAGGGAACCCAGTGTTATGCCAAGGACTTGCTTCATTGTCCTGATCATTAATAATCATTAGACAAAGAACTAGGGAAAAAACACCACATTTCACATTTGTCAGACAAGCTTATGACTTTAAAACCTAAAAAGTATAGCAACTAAATTGCAGTGTGGTTAATCGAGCTTATTCAGTTTACATATTGTTATAATGTGGAAAGTGGAATTTGACCAAGAACCTTTCAACCCAATCTATTATAACAGATTTAATTGCCCTTCTGTCCTTAAAAACTTTATGACAGTTAAGAAAGCTAAGCTAAAGTTTTTTTAAATTTCTGATTTTGACTTTTAGGTTAGCTACCTAACTAGTGGATGAAATTGATAAATAGGCATGATGATTTTCACTGTGACAGTTTGTTGTGAAATAAATTTAAAATGCAGAACTTAAGTTTCAGCCTTCCTAAATTGCTCCCTTGGACTTTACAACTTACTGTTGCCCTTGAGAAACTGGATCGCTGAATGAAATCTCTTTTCACACTACCTTCTCTCTAGCAATCCACTGTTTAACAGATGGAGATACCCTAACCCTTGCCTCAGAGGGCTTCAACCCTAGAGAGAGTGAGGCAGGCAATAGAAAAATCACAAGTAAAATTTTGGTATGTTAGATGTGGTTAGGTACTATGGGAGAAAGATAAAGCAAAGAAGGAATGTAAGGAGTCTGGGTAGAGGTAGGAGCATGGAGGATTATAATACTAAATCCGATAAAAAGAAAGTCTGAAAAGACAACTACATAGAAACCTGGAGGAAGAAAAGTACAAGCCATTGAATATCCAGGGAGGAGCATTTCAGGCAAAGGGAGCTGCACATGCAAAACCCCAGTGTGTTCAAGGTCCAGCATGAAGACCAATGAGGCTGGAAAGTAGTGTGCAAAGTGGAAGCTCACTAGGAGACGAAGTAAAAGATGTAATGAGGTGAGAGTAGAAGGAGTCCAATGAAGAAGAGTAGAGAGTTCCAATCATAAGTCACTCTAAGCTATTTTGGTAATTTTGATTTTTACTCTAAGTGAAATAAGCCTTTGGAGGACTTGAAGTAGAGAGGTGACATGATCTATTTTATTAAGAAGAGCTAACTGAATTGGGGCAAGAAGCAGAAGCAGGAGGAAGGCCAGGTAGGATACTATAGGAATATTCCAGGTAAAAGGAGATAATGACTTGAAACAGAGCAGTAACAGAGGTGGTGGTGAGAAGCAGTCAGCTTCTGAATGTAGAATAAAGAGCCATTAAATCCATTTAGCTTATCATTGACTGAAGTACTGTTTTTATAATTATTTGTGATATATACTTTCATAGTAAAATGTTTGAAAATATAGGTAGGTGAAAAAGTAAAAATCACTCAGAACCTCACTCTAAACATTTGATGGATAGTCTTTCACTTTTTCTAAATGTATGTGTGTATGTAGCTTATATTTATTCAAATGTGATCATACAAAAATCATTTTATTACCCATTATATGTATTTTTATATATTGTGATAATTTCCTATTTCTTTAAATATTTTCTCACACCATAGTATTAGTGGCTGAATAATGTAGTTTGGATATAGCATAATTTAGCCATTTTATAGATAGAACAGTTTATTTATCCAGTATTCTATTGTTGGCCATTTATACATTTTCCAGTTTTTCTGTATTATAAATACCACTTAAATGAACATCTGCATTGCTATATCTTTGAAAATGTGGTCACTGTATTACTTAGGAATCTCTGCCTATTTAAACAATTTTTTTCATCATATTTATTTTTTCATTGTGTTTATTTTTAATCAAAGAATTACTTTTTTCTTTTTTTTATTATTTCAGTAGTTTTTATGGAACAGGTGGTGTTTGGTTATGTGGATAGGTTTTTTGGAATACTACTCAGCCATAAAACGGAACAAAATAATGGAATTCCCAGCAACCTGGATGGAGTCGGAGACCATTATTCTAAGTGAAGTAACTCAGTGAGAACAAATATCGTATGTTCTCACTTATAAGTGGGAGCTCTTAAAAGTGGGAGCTAAGCTATGAGGACACAAAGGAGTAAGAATGATACAATGGACTTTGGGGACTAGTGGGGAAGGGTGGGGGCTGGATGAAGGATAAAAGTCTACACATTGGGTACAGTGTACATTGGGTTTTTTCCCATCTATAACCGTAGAAAGAAAAGATTATATCAGATGCATATTGATAGATTTTAAAGGGTGCCAAAAATATTTGAATATGAACTATATATAAATTCCTACTGAAGACTAAATAAACATTCATGTATTTTGGAATTTGTTTTCTATTTCTGATAGACTTAGTTATTACCAGGAACAGATGACCAGTTGCAAGAACTGTCACTATTTTAACATTCTCCATCAGCTGTGGCCATGTTGGATTTCTGGCACCTGAGCATTCACATCCATCTGTTTATAGGGCATTATGCCCACTCATGAGGTTTATTCCAGTTTCAAAAAGTCATGTGTAAACCAAGATTGGAAATATATATTCCTTGAGGTATAAATAATCTATTATTTGAACTTTTTGAATTATGTTTTTAGAAAGAACTTTAGCCACTTACCAATTTGAGATAACTTTCAATTAGGCATATATGGAAAGCAACATTATCAGCAAAATTTTAACTTTACTAACTAATAAATAGAATAATAGACTTCTTCAACATGAGAAAGTTGAAATTAGGAAAATGCTATAACATATCCTTGAAAAATATTTTGAAACCAACATTTATTTGATAACTGCTGTGTGTGAGGTGCTTTTGTATAATTTGTGCATATAATTGTCATAATCTGTGAAATAGATATTATCCTTACTTTGCAAGCAAAGAAACTAAGAGAAGTGATTTACTTAGTATCACAAGTAGGAAGTGACAAAGATAATTTCAAGCCCAGTTCTTTCTGACTTCAAAGCCCATACTCTTTTAACCATACTGTGCTGCTTAAGAGATTGGGATCCAAGCATTAGAGCAGTTTGACACATCTGTAATGTTGATTGTAAGCAGTTATAGTAGTTAAAATGTAAACAACAACAACAACAAAACAACCAACCAACCACCATCAACCACATGACTGCTTTACTTTTAAAACACTAAATAGCCCAAGGTAAGTATAAGGATATAAATTAGCTCTCATTATCAGGAAGACAGTGCTATATAGTAATTAACTGTTTTAACTGTAAGAGAATATCTACTTAGACAAAATATTTAAGAGAAGAAAATCTGGTGAGATGTTTGCTTGTTGTCTTTACATTAGTGATTTTCAAAGTTGAAAAAAAAAGTTATTTTTCCCCCACAGAAAGCTACATAAAACAAGTGAAAATGGTTGAAGTGGGGGTACAAGTGAAAGATGGGGGGGATGTAGCTCTATTTGCTCCCTACCCAGTTCTCTCCTCTAATTCTCCATGTAACATCGGAAGAAAAATTTACAAATTCCAGAATTCAGAATGTCATTTAATAGGCCATGTTGTGGCTGGAACACTTGGTTGATTGGCTTACTTTTTAAATATTCAACTGATTTATTTTGGTTATCTAAAAAATGTGATTTGGGCTGGGCATGGTGGCTCACACCTGTAATCCCAGCACTTTGGGAGGCCAAGGTGGGCGGATCACGAGGTCAGGAGTTTGAGACCAGCCTGGCCAACAAAAATTAGCTGGGCATGGTGGTGCGCACCTGTAGTCCCAGCTACTCGGGAGGCTGAGGCAGGAGAATCGCTTGAACCCAGGAGGTGGAAGCCGCAGCGAGCTGAGATCGCACCCCTGCACACCAGCCTGGGTGACAGTGCGAGACTCCATGTCAAAAAAAAAAAAAAAGTGATTTGAAAGGGGGAAACAGTTTCTGGGGCAATGGCTCACTTTTATGTTATACTGAATTATCTTTCCTTGTTTCTCCCAGCCAGAATCAATAAATTTATTCTATCAAATGATTTTTGAACTTCAAGTAAATGCCAGGCACTATACTGATTCCTACCTTCAAGAAGTCTAGAATCTGTCTGGAAGAGACAGATAATAAAGAAGTGAAAAAAAAATCAATTTGTGCTATAAAGAAAATCTGTTTTTTTGTTTGTTTGTTTGTTTGTTTTGAGACAGAGCCTCGCTCTGTCCCTCAGGCTGGAGTGCAAAGGCACAATCTTGGCTCACTGCAACCTCCGCCTCCCGGGTTCAAGCGATTCTTCTGCCTCAGCCTCCCTAGTAGCTGGGATTACAGGCGCCCACCACTATGCCCAGCTAATTTTTGTACTTTTAGTAGAGACGGGGTTTCACCATGTTAGTCAGGCTGGTCTCGAACTCCTGACCTCAGGTGATCCACCTGCCTCGGCCTCCCAAAGTGCTGAGATTACAGGCGTGAGCTACCACATCCGGCCGAAAATCTGTATTTTTGATAAACAATACTTACAGTTTGTTAGGGAACTACTTTATTTTGGTCTTTTTGGCAAAAGTTACTTGTATTGGATTGAATAATGTTCCCTCAAAATTCTTGTTCACCCAGAACCTCAGAATGTGGCTTTATTAGAAGTGGGGTCTTTGCCAATATAATTAGTTAAGAGGAGGTCATATTGGGTTAGGATTGGCCCTAATCCAGTGATTGGTATCCTTATAAAAACAGAAATAGAGACACAGACACACAAGGGAGAGTGCCATATGAAAATGGAGGCAGAATGGAGTGATGCATCTACAAGCCAAGGAACACCAAAAATTGCCAGCAACTACTAGAAGCTAGAAGAGGCAAGAAAGGACTTTCTAGAGCCTTTGGAAAGCATGATTCTGCCACATCTTGATTTTGGACTTCCAGCCTCTAGAACTGTGAGAGAGTAAGTTTCCATTGTTTTAAACCACCCAATTTGTATTAATTTGTTATAGAAGCCCTGGGAAACAAATAAACTACTTTAGATCAGTTAGGAAGGCTTCTTGAACTATATGACATTTAAACAGAGACATAAATGATGAGACTGTCCCAGCCAAGTTAAAAATATCACTGGGAATCAAACTCACTGGTGTTATTCCAGCTCAGTGGTAAATGTTCTACTGGTATTTTAAATAATTCTAAAATAAAGTCATTATTTTTCTTTGCACTCCAAAGTCCTTCTTTGCAAAAACTATATGAAGTAGGCATTAATATTCAGACTTACTATATAGAGGCTAAGGAACTTAGACCTAGTAAGTAGCAGAGCCTAGATTCAAGCTCAGGTAACCTAGCTTCAGGAGCCTGTAATTTAAACCATCAGGTTATACTGACTCTATTCTCAACCTTATGCAGTGTGCTTTCATTCTTCCCACAAGCTTCCAAGGTGTCCTTTTTTGTGATATCCCATGGAATCCAGTCTCATATGTGAAATTTAGCTTTTCTTTTTTGTCTCCTACTTTTCCTCTTTTCCTTTATAATGATAGTAGTACAGATTGCTAAATGTATTGAGCACTAAGTGTGCCAGCTCTTTTAATTCAAACAACAACCATATGAGGTAGATACTATTATCATCCTCATATTCCAGAGGATATTTCTATGGCTTAGAGAGGTTAAGTGACATATGTGGGATCATAATACTAATAAATGGCAGACCCTGGGTTGGTTGGATCTGTCTGACTTCAAAGCTTCTACTTTTAAAAAAATTCGATGTAAAACCAAGGTATAACTTACATGATTTAAGATGCACAACTCCTAAATATTTAGTATGATGAACTCTGATATGTTCTATACCTGTGTAATTATCATCACCCAGAACATTCCCTGATGGAAAGACTCCTTAATCACCCCCCTTAACAGTAGATAATCCTCCAAAGATAAACAACATTCTGTTATATATCACCATGAATTAACTTTATTTTTGAACTTTCTAGAAGTAGAATCATATAGTATATTTTCTTCAGTGTCTCATTTCTTTCCAGAGTCCTTATTTTTAATGACCATGTTATACTTTGTCCAACAAAACTGCCAAGTCCTCTGTCCTATTTTCCTAGGCTCTTGCTAAGTAACCTATGTTGATGATGTAATATGCTAATTCTTGCTAAAATATTAGTGGGTGAAAATTGTTTAAGTTACTTTTTTGGGGGGATAACTTATTAGTATCATAACTGACCTTAAGCTGAGAAGAATGACTATTATGAAAATTCTAAGTAGAGTCTGAGAGACTTTTAGGCAAAAGGGGCCTAGCTAGTTCCAGTTTTATATGGTTTGTTAACTTTAGGAAAGATGCTCATAAATGAATGCATAGAAGGAAAGCAAAAGCTGAAAAAAAGGGGGAAACTGAAAGTATGTAAATACTTCTGGGCAAAGAAAGGCTGTATGAGTTTTATGGTATTGGGAGAGGGGAGTGTCCTGGTCCATTTCTCCTGCTGTAACTAAATACCTGAGACTTAGTAATTTATAAACAATAGACATTTATTTCTCTTAGTTCTGGAGGCTCAGAAGTCACAGATCAAGGCACCAGCAAGTCTGATGACTGGTAAAGCCCCATTTTCCATAGATGGTGCCATCTAGGTGTCCTTACATGGTAGAAGGGCAAAAAGGGAACAAATGTTTTTTCCTCACATGGCAAAAGAGCAGAAAGGCAAGAGAGAGCTCCCTTCAACCTTTGAGCCCTTTTATAAGGGTGCTAATCCCATTTATGAGGTCAGAGCCCTCATGACTTAATCATCTCTCTCTTAGTACTCTTGCATTGGGGATTGAGTTTCAACATGAATTTTGGAGGGGACACAAATATTCAAATCATAGCACTGGTACACTAATTGTGGACCTTTAAAATTTATTTCTAAAATGTAAATGTTGTATCTATAACTGAAATTGAAATACCACAGAAGAAATCTTAGATGTATAAAAAGAAATGTTAATGTCATATAGAAAAATGAACATTGAAGTTGTCAAAAGTTTTGGGTTCTAGTCACTGCTCTGCAGCTTACCAGCTAATTACCTCGCTTAAATCACCTAATCTTTCTGAGTCAACTTCAGTATATGCATAAAAACATTTACCCTGCCTGACAGGATTGGTGTGAAGATTAAATATGAAATAAGCTAGTTTATATTAATGTGCTTTATAAAGTCTCATATATGAAGCTTTATATATATACACATATCACTGTCATAAAATAGTTAATACAATATTAGATATATGAAAAATTGAATACTGTAACCACCTGATGCAATAGAAAGTCTTAATGACATTGTTTTTGAAGAACTTCTAATTTAATAACCCAGGCTTCCAGTCACTCAGTTCAAGTTTGTCAGAACTCTAAATGAATGGATTTGGAAAAATACAAGAGCAATTTTCTTTCCCATTTCCTTTTGCTTTTACATTTCACCTCTTCTCAGTGATAAATTTTGTTGGAAAGCAAGACATAATTTTTTTACTTTTACCCTTTTCCTTAGAGTTTCTTGCATGTCACACGTGAATTTGCCTAGGGATTCTCCTGTAACAAGAATTATTTAATTGTCAGGTAAGAGTGTGAAGAATTTATTAGAAAAATGTGAAAGACTTCATACTGATAACCAATTATTATTATTATTATTATTTTGAGACCGAGTTTCGCTCTTGTTGCCCAGGCTGTAGTACAGTGGCGCAATCTTGGCTTACTGCAACCTCCCCCTCCCGGGTTCAAGTGATTCTCCTGCCTCAGCCTTCCTGAGTAGCTGGGATTACAAGCATGCGCCACCATGCCCGGCTAATTTTGTATTTTTAGTAGATATGGGATTTCTCCATGTTGGTCAGGCTGGTCTCGAACTCCCGACCTCAGATGATCTGCCTGCCTCGGCCTCCCTAAGTGCTGGGATTACAGGCGTGAGCCACCGTGCCCTGCTGATAACCACTTACTAATTTATAGCCAATTTAAAAAAATTGGCGTGGGGTGGGGAGGCACGCTGGGTAGGAGGATGGGTAGTAATAATATGTTCCGCTTTACTTTGGACTGCCATCTACTGGTAAATTAAGTCAGACAATGTTTGACAAACAAAACAATTATGTTCAGAGATTAGAACAAGGAACTTGTTGAAGAATGACATCAGCAAAATAGTGGAACAGAAGTTCCTAGTACTCATCTCACAGAAACATAAATTTAAACATCTATCCACACTAAAAAAATACCTTTACAAGAACTAAGAAATTCAAGTGAGGGATTATAGCACCTGGATGTAGCATGGAAATAAGAAAACATGTATTCATGACGACAGGAAAGACAGTTTTACATTACCTGTGTGCTATGGTTTGAATGTGTCCTCTCCAAACTTCATGTGCTGAAACTTAATGACCAATATGATGGTATTAAGAGATGGGGCCTTTAAGAGGTCATGAGCTCTCCTTCTCTCATGATTAAGGCCTTTATAAAAGGGGCTTTGTGTAGTGTTCACCTCATTGCCTTTCCACCTTTTGCCATGTGAAGACCTAGTATTACTCCCCTCCAGAAGATGCAACAATAAGATGCCATCTTGAAAGCAGAGAGCATCCCTCACCAAACAACCAAACCTATCAGGGCCTTGATTTTGGACTTCTTAGCCTCCAGAATGATGAGAAAATAAATTTGCTATTTATAAATTATCCAGTCTCTCAGATATTTTGTTATAGCAGCACAAAACAGACTAAAGACACCATGTCACTGTTTTCACAAGCCTGGGCAACACATCATGCAGATAAATACCCTTCATGTGGGAAAAGCAGTGTGAAGTGAGCTCTCACCTTCACTTCAGACCCTGGCAGCAGGCCTACCCCAGTAAGCCCAGACTCTAGGACCACCCCAGCACCAGGAGTCTCCAGGCCAACTGTCCCAGTCTCCAGACCAGCTCATGTGGTCACAGGCTCCAGGCCCAACCGAGAGACAGGCTTGACCTTGCAGCCTTAGGTTCTAGGCCAGCCCCTTGGACACAAGCTCCAGGCCTCCAAAGGTAAACAACATTCTGCTATCTCTCACTATGGATTAACTTTGTTTATTTTTGAACTTCCTAGAAGTGGAATTATATAGTATATTCGCTTTGGTGTCTCATTTCTTTCCAGAGTCCTTATTTTTGATGACCATGTTATACTTTGTCCAACAAACCTGCCAAGTCTTCTGTCCTATTGCCCTAGGCTCTTGCTAAATAACCTATGTTGATGATGTAATGTGTTAATTCTTGTTAAAATATTAGTGGGTGAAAATGCCCTACCACTGCACCAACCCACCCCCTGCAGACTCAGGCTCTAGTCCCATCCTAGCACCAAGCCAGCTCCCATGGTCCCAGGCTCCAGACTGCCCCCTGTGGCCCTATGCTCCAGAATATCTAGGTTCCAGGCCCACCCCAGTAGAATTTGATACTAGTCCAGCCCTCAAAGACCCAAGCTCCAGACTGGACCCCATCAACCCAAGACCAAAGCCTGCCCGCATGGACTCAGCCTCCAGGCCCACTACCATGGACCCAGGTGCCAGGGCACCCCACTGAACCCTGGTGCTAGGTCAGCTCCTGTAAACTCAGGACCAGGCCCATCTCCATGGACCCAGGCACCAGGCCTCCCCTAGCAACAGGTTTTCCCTCATGGACTCGGGCTTTAGGCTGGCCCCTGTAGACACAGGTTTCAGCCTACCTATGCATGCCTACCCATGCAGGCCCAATCTCTAGGCCCAACCCAGTGGAGTCCAGCACTAGGCTGGCCTCTGTGAACCCAAGATCCAAGCCTAACCACCTAGATTCGGGTTCAACGCCTGCCCCACTGGACCCATGAGCCAGACTCAGCCAAGTGGACCTAGCCACCAGACCAGCCTGCCTGAGGATTCCAACAGCAAGCTTGCAAGCAGACCCCACTAAATGGCTCACCAAGAATCTCTGGATGGTCTGACTGGTAAAGGACTTTCCCTGCCAAAGCCAGTCTGTAAAGATGGGAAAAGCTGCCTGCTTCTTTTTAAAAATTATATTTTATTTTTTAGAGACAGAGTCTTACTATGTTGCCAGGCTGGAGTATAGTGGATATTCATAGGCACAATCATAGCACACTGCTGCCCCAAACTCCTGGGCTCAGGTGATCCTCCTGCCTTAGCCTCCTGAGTAGCTGGGACTTCTGTGCCTGGTTAAGAGGTTCCTACTTCTCCAAATAGACAAACACCAACACAACACCACAAGGATTACAAATAAAACTGCCTGACAAAGAATTGAAAATAATTGTCTTCAAGAAACTTAGTAAGCTCCCAGAGAACACAGCTAGACAACTAAACAATTATCAGGAAAACAATACATAAGGAAATGAGTTCAACAAAGAGAAGGCATTTAAAAATTCTGGAGCTGAAGAACACAATGCTTGAACTGAAAAATTCCATAGATAGATTTAACAACAGATTTGATCAGTCAGAAGAAAGAACCAGTGAGACTGAAAACAGGTCATTTGAAATTAGAGCAGAGGAAAAAGAATGATAAAGAGTGAAGAAAGCCTATGGGACTTAGAGAACACCATCATGTAAAACAATATTTGTGTGTAAGTTTTCTGGAAGGAGTAGAAAAAGAAAAGGGGAGAAAGCTTATTTTAAGAAATAGTAGCAGAAAACTTCCCAAATCTGGAGAGGGAAATGAATGTCCAGATTCATGAAGCTCGAAGAACCCCAAATATATTAAATATAAAGAGATCTACCCCAAGACACATTATAATCAAATTCTCAAAAGCCAAAGACAAAGATTATTTTGAAAGCAGCGAGGAAAGACACGTCACATGCAATGGAACCCATATGAGATGGTCAGTGAATTTCTCAGCAGAAACCTTGCAGATCTTGAGAGAGTGGAATGACATATTTAAAGTGCTGAAAGAAAAAAAAAAACCTGAAAACCAAGAATGCTACCCCTGGTAAATCTTTCCTTCAGAAATGAAGGAGCGATAAAGACTTTCTCAGACAAACAAAAGCTGTGGGAGTTCATCACCACTAGACATACCTTACAAAAACTGTAAAGGGAGTTCAAGTTGAAACAAAATGACACTAACTTTCTAGAAGCTGAAGCTGTGAAAAATTTTTAAAAATGACATAATATAAAAACATAGAAGTATAAAACTGTAAAGGTAAGAATACAGTCAAATTCAGAATACTCTAATACTAATGATGGTAATGATAGTACATAAATAACTCTAGTAAAAAGTTAAAAGTCGTGAGTGTTAAAAATAAATATGGCAACAATAATTTGTTAGTGGATACACATTATATAAAACATGCAAATTGTGACACCAGTACATAAAATGTGAGAGGAGGAGAAGTTAAAAGTGTAGAGTTTTGTATGTGGTTGAAGTTAAGTTGTTATTAGATCCAAATAGACTGTTATAAGATGTTTTATGTAAGCCTTATGGTAACCACACACAAGAAAAGTCTGTAGTAAATAAAAGATAAAGAAGACGAAATCAAAGCACACCACTACAAAAATAAATCATTAGGCTGGGCACAGTGGCTCACGCCTGTAATCCCAGCATTTTGGGAGGCCGAGGCGGGCAGATCATGAGGTCAGGATATCGAAACCATCCTGGCTAACATGGTGAAACCCCGTCTCTACTAAAAATACAAAAAATTAGCTGGGCATGGTGGCGGACGCCTGTAGTCCCAGCTACTCGGGAGGCTGAGGCAGGAGAATGGCATGAACCTGGGAGGCAGAGCTTGCAGTGAGCCGAGATCGCACCACTGCACTCCAGCCTGGGCAACAGAGCGAGACTCCATCTCAAAAAAAGAATAAAAATAAAAATAAAAATAAATAAATCCTTAAATCACAAAAGAAGTCAGCAAGAGAGAAAGAAAGGAACAAAGGAACTACAAAACAGATTTAAATGATTAACAAAATGGCAATATTAAGTTCTTCCTATCAATAATTAATTGTAAGTGGATTCAGTTCTTCAACAATAGAGTGGCTGAATGGATAAAAGGAAAACAAGATTCAATTATATGCTACCTACCAGATACTCACTTAAGCTTTAGGGACACACATAGGCTGAAAGTGAAGGGATAGAAAAAGAAGATATTCCATGCAAATGGTAACCAAGGGTGAACAGCAGTGGTTATACTTATATTGGACAAAATATACTTTAAGTCAAAAACTTTCACAAGGACAAAGAAGCTAATTATATCATAGTAAAGAGATCAGTCTATCAAGAGGATATAACAATTATGAATACTATGCACTCAACATTGGTGTACCTACATATTTAGCAAATATTAACTGAACAGAGAAATAGAAAGCAATATAATAATAGTAGAGTACTTCAATACCTCACTTTCAAAAATGGATAGATATAGATCATCCAGACAGAATATTGATAAGGAAACAGTGGACTTGAAATACAGTATAATATAAACCAAATGGATCTAACAGATACGTACAGGACATTCCATCCAACAGCAACAGAATACACATTCTTTTCAAGTGTACGTGAAACTTTCTCAAGGATAGATCATATGTTAGGCTGTAAAACAAGTCTTAACAAATTTAAAAAGATTGAAATAATTATCAATATCTTTTTCAACGACAATGTTATGAAATGCTGTAAAATGTTAGGAAAACAACAGGAAGAAAATTAGAAAATACACAAATTTGTGTAAATTAGACCACATACACTCGAATAACCAATAGGTCAAAGAAGTCTTCAAAAGAAAAATAAAAGGCCAGGTGCCTGTAATCCCAGCACTTTGGGAGGCTGAGGTGGGTGGATCACCTGAGGTCAGGAGTTCGAGACCAGCCTGGCCAACATGATGAAATTCCGTCTCTACGAAAAATACAAAAATTGGCCAAGCATGGAGGCAGGCACCTGTAATCCCAGCTACTCGGGAGGCTGAGGCAGGAGAATCACTTGAACCCAGGAGGCAGAGGTTGCAGTGAGCCAAGATCGCGCTACCACACTCCAGCCTGGACAACAAGAGTGAAACTCCATCTCAAAAAAAAAAAAAAAAGAGAAATGAAAAATATCTTGAGACAAATGAAAACAAAACCACAATATAACAAAACTTACTGGATGCAACAAAAGCAGTCCTAAGAGGGAAGTTTATAACAATAAATGCCTACTTAAGAAAAAAGAAAGATCTCAAATAAACAACCTATCTTTATATCTCAAGGAACTAGAAAAAGAAGAATGAATTAAGGCTGAAGTTAGCAGAAGGAAAGAAAATACAAATCCAAGCAGAAATAAGTGAAACAGACTAGAAATATTACAAAAGATCAAGGAAACTAAGAGTTGAGTTTTTTTAAATATAAGCAAAATTGACAAACTTTAGCTAGACTAATAAAAAAAGAGAGAAGACTCAAAATATTAAATTATAAATGAAAGAACAAAAATTGAAAAAAGCCAGGCACACTGTTGTGCAGCTGTAACCCCACCTACTCAGGAGGCTGGGGTGGGAGGATCTCTTGAACCCAGGAGTTTTAGGCCAGCCTAAACAATGTAGTGAGACCCTGTCTCAAAACAAACAATTATAATTGAAAGAGGAGATATTATAACTGATATCACTGAAATATGAGGAATCATAAGAGACAGCTATGAAAATTATATGCCAACAATTGGATAACTTAGAAGAAATAGATAAATTTCTAGAAACATAAAATTTACCAAGGCCGAATAATGAAGAAATAGAAAATCTGAACAGACAAATGATAAGCAAGAAGATTGAATTGATAATCAAAAAAACCTCCCAAAAAGAAAAACCCAGGATCTGATGGCTTTATTGGTTAATTCTACCCAACATTTAAACAAAAATTAATGCCAATTGTTTTCAAACCCTTAAAAATTCAAGAGCAGGGAGCACTTACATCATGAGAACAGCATTACCTTGACACCAAAGCTAGATAGTTGGACACTATAAGAAAAGAAATTATAAGCCAATATCCATGATGAACATAGATGCAAAAATCCTTAACAAAATACCAGCAAACTGAATTCAATTACACATTAAAAGGATCATACGCCACAATCAAGTGGATTTATCTCTGGGCTGCAAAGGTAGTTCAACACATGCAAATCAATAAATGTGATACACCACAATAACCAAATGAAGGACAATCATATGTTCAGTTCAATAGATGCAAAAAAAAAAAAAAGCATTTGACAAAATTCGACATCCTTTCATGATTAAAAATTCTCAACATTAGCTATAGGAGGAATGTGCCTGAAAGGCCATACATCACAAGCCTAGAGCCAATATAATACTCTATGGTGGAAAGCTAAAAGCTTTTCCTCTAAGATGAGGAGCAAGACAAGAAAACCTACTCTTCTCACTTCTATTCAGCATGCTACTAGAAGTCCTAGCTAGAGCAATTAGGCAAGAAAAAGATATAAAAGACAAGAAAACCCACTCTTGTCACTTCTATTCAAAATACTACTGGAAATCCTAGCTAGAGCAATTAGGCAAGAAAAAGAAAAGGCATTCAAATTGGAAGAAGTAAAACAGTCTCTGTTTACAGATGACATAATCTTGTATATAGAAAACCCTAAAGACTTCACCAAAGAACTGTTACAGCTAATAAATGAATTCAGTAAGCTGCAAGATACAAAATCAAATACAAAAATAAGTTGTGTTTCTATACACTAACAATGAACTGAGAAGGAAATTAAGAAGATAATCCTATTTACAATAGCATAAAGAAATACTTCAAATACATTTAACCAGGGAGGCAAAAGATTTGTATACTGAAAACTCTCAAACATTGATGAAAGAAACTGAAATAGACACAGATAAATGGAAAGATATTCTATTTTCATGGATTGGAAGAATCGATAATGTTAAAATGTCCATACTACTCATATAAACCTAAAGATTCAGTGCAATCACTCTCAAAATTCCCATGGCATTTCTCACAGATAGAAAAGCTATCCTAAAATTTGTAAGTAACCATAAAAGATCGCAACTAGCCAAAGCAATCTTGAGCAAGAACAAAGCTGGAGGCATCATGCTACCTAATTTCAAAATATACTATAAAACTATAATAATCGAAACAGCGTGGTCCAGGCACAAAAACACATAGGCCAATTGAACAGAATAGAGAGCTCAGAAATAAATCCACGCACTTACAGTCAATTGATCTTTGACAAAGGTGCCAAGAAAACACAGTGGGGGAATAGACAGTCTCTAATCAGTAGTGGTATGGAAACCATATATTCACATGCAGAAAAATGAAATTGTACTCATGTCACTTCATATGCAAAAATCAAGTCAAAATGGATTAAAGCTTAAATGTAAGACCTGAAACTATAAAAATACTGGAAGAAAAAGAAAACATGAGGGAGAAATTCTTGGTATTGGTCTGGGTACTGATTTTTTTGATATGACACAGCACAGGCAACAAAAGCAAAAATAGTCAAATAGGGTTATATTAAACCAGAAAGCTTCTGGACATGAAAGGAAGGACATAGAGTGAAGAGACAACCTATGGAACAGGAGAAAGTATTTCCAAACTATGCCTCAAATAAAGCATTAATATCTGAATTATATAAGGAACTCAAACAAATCAGTAGCAGGAAAGTAAATAATCCAATTAAAGAAGTAAAAGGACTTGAACAGACATTTCTCAAAAGAAGATGTGCAAATGGCTAGCAGGTATATGAAAAAATTCTCAACACCACTAATTATCAGCAAAATGCAAATTAAAACCACAGTGAGGCTCGGCACAGTGGCTCAAGCATGTAATTCTAGCAGTCTGGGAGGCTGAGGCAGGTGGATCACTTGAGGCCAGGATTTGGAGACCGGCCTGGCAAGCATGGTGAAACCCTGACTCCACTAAAAATACAAAAATTAGCCATCCATGGTGGTGCATGCCTGTAATCCCACCTACTTGGGAGGCTGAGGCATGAGAATTGCTTGAACCCGGGAGGTGGAGGTTGCAATAGGCCAAGATCATGCCACTGCACTCCAGCCTGGGTGACAGAGCGAGACCATGCCTCAAAAACAACACAATGAGATGTCTCCTCACACCCGTTAGAATGGTTAATATAAAAAAGACAAAAGATAGCAAGTGTTGGTGAGGCTGTGGAGAAAAGGAAACCCTTGTGCATTGTTGTTGGCAATGTAAATTGGTATAGCCATTATGGAAAATAGTATGGAGCCTTCTCAAAAAAAAAAAAAAAAAAAAAAAAAAACAGAAATAGAACTACCATATGATTCAGCAATTCCACTTCTGGGTATGTATCCAAAGGAAATGAAATCAGTATGTTAAGAGGTATGTGCACTCCCATGTTCACTGCAGCATTATTCACAATAGCCAAGATGTGGAATCAACATAGTGCCCATCAATGGATGAATGGAAAAAATGTGATACACACACACACACACACACACACACACAATGGAATATTAGCCAGCCTTAAAAAAGGAAATATTGGGCCAGGTGCAGTGGCTCACACCTGTAATCCCAGCACTTTGGGAGGCTGAGGCGAGCAGATCATGAGGTCAGGAGTTTGAGACCAGCCTGGGCAACATGGTGAGACCCTGTGTTAGCTCTACTAGAAATACAAAAAATTAGCCGGGCGTGGTGGTACGCATCTGTAGTCCCAGCTACTCAGGAGGCTGAGGCAGGAGAATCGCTTGAACCTGGGAGGCGGAGGTTGCAGTGAACTGAGATCGCGCCACTGCACTCCAGCCTCGGCGACAGAGCAAGACTCCGTCTCAAAAAAAAGGAAATCTTGTCTTTTGGGACAACATGGATGAGCTTGGAGGACATTTTACTAAGTGAAATGAGTCAGGCACACAAAGACAAATACTGTGTGATCTCGCGTACATGTGAAATCTAAAAAGGTAGAACTAGAGGCAGAAAGTAAAATGGTGTTTGCCAGGAGCTAGGAGGTAGGAGGAATGGGAAGATGTTGGTGAAGGGTACAGAGTTTCACTTATGCAGGATGAATAAGTTTTGGAGATTTAATGTCCAACATGGTGACTACAGTTAATAAGACACTATTATATATGTGAAATTTGCTAAGACGGATCTTAAATGTTCTCACCACATACACACACAACAGGTAACTATGTGAGGTAATGGATATGCTAATTAACTTGATTGCAGTAATCATTTCACAATATACATGTATCAAAATATCACCTTGTATACCTTAAATATATTCATTTTTTATTTGTCAATTATACCTCAATAATGCTGGAGAAAACAATTGACTTATTTTGTATAAAATATATACTAGTTATTAGAATCATGGAAAATGGTGGTTTGATTTACTAATTTAATGATTCAATTATTAAATTTTTCTCAAGGCTTTTTTTGGGGAAATTTCTTTATTCTAAATTCTGAGCTCCAATTAGAAACATCAGATGTATGTGTTGAGGGTCTATTATGTTAATGAATCAAATATTTAAGTGTTTATGTATCACACTGTGCAAGGCACTGGAGATATGATGGTGAAAAGTACAGAATTTCCCTGCCCATATGGAACTGTGGTAAGGCTAAAAATAAATTAAATGACAGATTTCTAAAAGATGTTACGAATAGAATGAGGCAGAGAGAGAGAATACTCAGTGGTTGAGGTAACTACTATCAGGAAAGGCTTTTTTTTAAAAACAAACAACAACAAAAAAACAAGGTCTTGTGCTGTCACCTGGGCCGGAGTGCAGTAGTGCCTCCACCTCCCAGCCTCAAGAAATCGTCCCACCTCAGCCTCCTGAAAAACTGGGACTACAGGTGCAAGCCACCATGCCCAACTAATTTTTTCATTTTTGTAGAGATAGGGTCTTTCTATGTTGCCCAGGCTGGTCTCAAACTTCTGGACTCAAGTGATCCTCCCACCTCATCCTCCTAAAGTGAAGGGATTACAGGTGTGAGCCACCATGCCCAGCAGGTAAGGCATTTCTGAGAAGAACTTTAAGTATCTGTTCTTTGCTATATTCCTAATACTAGGCACAGTGCCTGGTACATAGTCAATACTGAATGTATATTTGATGAATTAAAGGATGGATTATACCAGGAAATGGCTTTGAAGAGAGGCATTGACCAGAGATGAAATACCATCAGCTTTTCTTTTTTGACTGGTCATAGATGTTTGGGTTGGTCTGGCCTAAAGGTAGAAATACGCAATGGGAAAGAGAGCATAGGAAAACTATTGGAGATATATATATATATGGCATAGTAATATCCTTTTGATATGGGCCAGCTTATAAAGTCCAATCCAGGCAGAAAGATTGATGCGAATGTTGACTCTGTCAGTTCAAGTCTACTATCATTTAGTTTACTACTAAAGTACCAAACAAGCAGTGCAAGGGATATGTACACCAAATAAGCATGTAAGTGAATAGATGCAGCTCTTTAATGCTTCCTTGTACTTGACAAATGCCCAAGTTCGGTAATTGAGGCAGCCCATGAGGAATAAGATCAAAGGGGTTCAAAACTACAGACCTTGGTAACATTAGGCTGGGTGAGGGGGCCATAGTTAAGGATCTAATTCACTAATATATAAAAAATTTGTTGTTGTACTATAGTAATGTATTTACACAGTCTGTTCCTTCTGCACCCTCTGGCCAATACTAGAGCTGTAGGCCTGCCAAACCTTCCTTGAAGCAAAGTCTAATTGAAGACCTAAGAGTAAGATGCAAACTTACGTGGAATAATTAAATGTTAGTTTATAACTGTAATAATAATGTAATAAGAAAGGAGGGAAGCTTTTTTTATGATGTAACTCTTGTTAAACTGACTCACATTGACAGTCTTTCACCTTGCATTCAATAGACCGATCTATTATGCACATCTTTTGTCTACACATAAAAATATGCAAATAACACATTTATAAATAAAATCTATAAGTATTGATGAGTGCTTGGTTTTCTCACATCCATTCTCACCTTCTTCAATAAGAGAACCCAGATTTTTATTTGGATATATTGTTTTTCAGCTAAAAGACTACATTTCCTAGCCTACAGCTCACCTTTAAGTGGAAATATTGTGTGGTATTTCTGGAAAAATCTTTTTGAAAAGGAAGGAGTGTGTACCTATTCTTTCCTCTCTCCCATCTTGCTGCTCGAAATGTAGATGTGGTGACTGATGCTCCAAAATTCATATTGGATCAAGGGGACAAGAGCCACACCTAAAGCATAACAGAGCAGAAAACTGGAAGGACCTCAGCCCTTTGATTACTGTAGAGCCACCATATCAGCCCTGAGCTGTCTCTTGATTTCTCTTATACAAGAGAGAAAGAAGCATCTGTCTTGTATATGACTGTTCATTAGAGTTTCTGTTACTGTCTCCTGAACTTTATCCTAACCAGTTTGGTGAGCAATATGGATTTTGCTGAATTTTTTTTTATGACAGATGGAGGAGAAGGCAACATTTCATTACACACAGTAAACAATATTTTCATTATGCAAGTCTTCTGTCTAGTTTCTTCCCAGATCCAAATTCCCTTTAGCACCCCCGTCCCCATACCAAGCAAGGGCCATCCACCCCACCAACTCTCTATAATACTTTTTTCTTCTCCTGGAGTCAGGGCCCACTCTGATCCCAAAATGACGTTTGGGTGGACATTCTACTTACTTCACCCCTTCTTCAGGGATTCTTTTCCCTATATAGAGGGACAACTTAATTTTAGCTGAGCTTTTGCTCATAGATGCAGTCTACCACAAGATAATAGTAACAGCATCAACAATAACCCATATGATTAAGTGCCTACTGTGGGCAGTCATTTAATCCTCACAACAATCCTATAAAATGTTATCTATTTTACAGAGAGGATAAATAATCTGCCTGTGGCAGAAAAGCCTAGTTGTCTACCCAACATTCATATTCCTTCTTCCCTAAAATAAAGAGTTTTCACTGTGAAGTCACCATCCATTGTGGCTTACATACACATTCATAATTGTCATATCTTCCTTATATATTGATGCTTTATGAAGTATTTCCTTTTGTCTCTAGTAATAACTCATTTTCTTGAGGTCTATTTTGTCTAATACTAATACAACAACTCCTCTCTTGTGGTTATTGTTTGCATGGTATACCTTCCTCCATCTGTAAAATTTTTATTCTATTTGTATTAGAAGTGCATCTCATGTAGACATCATGTAGTTGGTGCTTACTTTTTATCCACTCTAACAGTTTCTGCTTTGTGATTGGAGAGTTTAGTTTATTTGCATTTGATATACTTATTGATATGATTGTATTTAAAGCTCTGCCATTTTGCTGTTTATTATCTATTTGTCTTACCAAATTTTTTTGGTTTTTTGTTCCTCATTTTCTTCCTTTTATGTTAATCAAATATTTTTTCATATTCCATTTTAATTTCTCTGTTGACTTTGTAGCTACATTTTTCATTATTTTTTACTTTTTCTAGTGTTTACAAAGTGGATCCTTAGCTAATCCCAGTCTACCTAGTTATATTGAATTAGTCCAGATGAAATATAGAAAACTCACAAGAGCAAATTCCATTTACCCCTTCTCCTTAGTGCTATTATTGTCATATATATTACATCTACATTTGTTATAAACCCATTAATATTAGTGAAGTGTCATACTTTTTTTTTTTTTTTTTTTAATTTATTTATTTTTTTTTTATTGATCATTCTTGGGTGTTTCTCGCAGAGGGGGATTTGGCAGGGTCATAGGACAATAGTGGAGGGAAGGCCAGCAGATAAACAAGTGAACAAAAGTCTCTGGTTTTCCTAGGCAGAGGACCCTGCGGCCTTGGCCTTCCGCAGTGTTTGTGTCCCTGGGTACTTAAGACTAGGGAGTGGTGATGACTCTCAACGAGCATGCTGCCCTCAAGCATCTGTTCAACAAAGCACATCCTGCACCGCCCTTAATCCATTTAACCCTGAGTGGACACAGCACATGTTTCAGAGAGCACAGGGTTGGGGATAAGGTCACAGATCAACAGGATCCCAAGGCAGAAGAATTTTTCTTAGTACAGAACAAAATGAAAAGTCTCCCATGTCTACTTCTATCCACAGAGACCCGGCAACCATCCGATTTCTCAATTTTTTCCCCACCCTTCCCGCCTTTCTATTCCACAAAACCGCCATTGTCATCATGGCCCATCCCCAATGAGCCGCTGGGCACACCTCCCAGACGGGGTCGTGGCCGGGCAGAGGGGCTCCTCACTTCCCAGTAGGGGCGGCCGGGCAGAAGCGCCCCTCACCTCCCGGATGGGGCGGCTGGCCGGGCGGGGGGCTGACCCCCCCACCACCCTCCCGGACGGGGCGGCTGGCCAGGCAGAGGGGCTCCTCACTTCCCAGTAGGGACGGCCGGGCAGAGGCGCCCCTCACCTCCTGGATAGGGCGGCTGGCTGGGCCGGGGGCTGTCCCCCCCACCTCCCTCCCGGACGGGGCGGCTGGCCGGGCAGAGGGGTCCTCACTTCCCAGTAGGGGCGGCCGGGCAGAGGCGCCCCTCACCTCCCGGACGGGGCGGCCGGCCGGAAGGGGGGCTGACCCCCCCCCACCTCCCTCCCGGACGGGGCGGCTGGCCGACCCCCCCCCCCCCGCCTCCCTCCCGGACGGGGCGGCTGGCCGGGCAGAGGGGCTCCTCACTTTCCAGTAGGGGCGGCCGGGCAGAGGCGCCCCTCACCTCCCGGACGGGGCGACTGGCCAGGCGGGGGGCTGATCCCCCCACCTCCCTCCCGGACGGGGCGGCTGGCCAGGCGGGGGGCTGACCCCCCCCACCTCCCTCCCGGGCGGGGCGGCTGGCCGGGCAGGGGGCTGACCCCCCCTCCCCCCTCCCGGACGGGGCGGCTGGCCGGGCGGGGGGCTGACCCCCCCACCTCCCTCCCGGATGGGGCGGCTGGCCAGGTGGGGGGATGACCCCCCCACCTCCCTCCCGGGCGGGGCGGCTGGCCGGGCAGAGGGGCTCCTCACTTCCCAGTAGGGGCGGCCGGGCAGAGGCGCCCCTCACCTCCCGGATGGGGCGGCTGGCCAGGCGGGGGGCTGATCCCCCCACCTCCCTCCCAGACGGGGCGGCTGGCCGGGCGGGGGGCTGACCCCCCACCTCCCTCCCGGACTGGGCGGCTGGCCCGGCGGGGGGCTGACCCCCCCACCTCCCTCCTGGACGGGGCGTCTGGCCGGGCAGAGGGGCTCCTCACTTCCCAGTAGGGGCGGCCGGGCAGAGGAGCCCCTCACCTCCCGGACGGGGCGGCTGGCCGGGCGGGGGGCTGACCCCCCCACCTCCCTCCCGGACGGGGCGGCTGGCCGACCCCCCCCCCGCCTCCCTCCCGGATGGGGCGGCTGGCCAGGCAGAGGGGCTCCTCACTTCCCAGTAGGGGCGGCCGGGCAGAGGAGCCCCTCACCTCCCGGACGGGGCGGCTGGCCGGGCGGGGGGCTGACCCCCCCCACCTCCCTCCCGGACGGGGTGGCTGCTGGGCGGAGACGCTCCTCACTTCCCAGACGGGGTGGTTGCCGGACGGAGGGGCTCCTCACTTCTCAGACGGGGCGGTTGCCAGGCAGAGGGTTTCCTCACTTCTCAGACGGAGCGGCCGGGCAGAGACGCTCCCCACCTCCCAGACAGGGCTGCGGCCCAGCAGAGGCGCTCCTCACATCCCAGACAGGGCGGCGGGGCAGAGGTGCTCCCCACATCTCAGACGATGGGCGGCCGGGCAGAGACGCTCCTCACTTCCTAGATGGGATGGCGGCGGGGAAGAGGCGCTCCTCGCTTCCCAGATGGGATGGCGGCCGGGCAGAGACGCTCCTCACTTTCCAGACTGGGCAGCCAGGCAGAGGGGCTCCTCACATCCCAGACGATGGGTGGCCAAGCAGAGACGCTCCTCACTTCCCAGACGGGGTGGCGGCCGGGCAGAGGCTGCAATCTCGGCTCTCCGGGAGGCCAAGGCAGGCGGCTGGGAGGTGGTTGCAGCGAGCCGAGATCACGCCACTGCACTCCAGCCTGGGCACCATTGAGCACTGAGTGAACGAGACTCCATCTGCAATCCCGGCACCTCGGGAGGCCGAGGCTGGCGGATCACTCGCGGCTAGGAGCTGGAGACCAGCCCGGCCAACACAGCGAAACCCCGTCTCCACCAAAAAAAAACGAAAACCAGTCAGGCGTGGCGGTGCGCGCCTGCAATCGCAGGCACTCGGCAGGCTGAGGCAGGAGAATCAGGCAGGGAGGCTGCAGTGAGCCGAGATGGCAGCAGTACCGTCCAGCCTTGGCTCGGCATCAGAGGGAGACCGTGGAGGGAGAGGGAGAGGGAGAGGGAGAGGGAGGGGGAGGGGGAGGGAGAGGGAGAGGGAGAGGGAGAAGGAGAGCGAAGTGTCATACTTTTTTGCTTTAAACAGTCATATGTGTTTTCAATAAGGAAAGAAACATATACATATATTTGTTATTTATATACTTACCCACATATTTACTATTTCTACTGTTTGAGTGTAATTTTAGTAAACTATGAGAAGTCTTGAAATATTTATATTCTGTTACCCAATAGTTGCATTTACAGGATTTTTTATGGAAATAAGTAGAGATGATAATAAAATTTCTTATATCATCATGTTTTGCTCACTGTTTCTTATAATTAAAATTTTGAAATAATTTAAATGTCTAAGAACAGGAAAATTATTACATAAACTATGTTACATATGTAGGACAGATAAACGTTTATTTTTAGGATATTGATTAAATTAGGCAAGTATATATTATATGTGTATATATTTTTATAATTATAGTTTTTAGGGAAAGACTGAGAAGAAATATATCTAGATATTAATAATGGTTCTTTCTGGCTATTTGGATTATGCGTTTGATTTACTGCCATTTTCTTATTTAAACTTTCTATATTTTCTAAATTTTTACAAAAATATATTTTCTTTTGTAATCAGACGAATAGCACAATGAGAAAATTCAGGATTGGGGAGTTATGTTATATAAGCGCTGGTCAGAATCTGAAACTAGTTAATCATAGTAGTAAGACTAATTGTCATAAATATATTTACCAACTTTAATGTCTTCAGTTTGACAAATTTGGAGGATAGAAGGTAAGAAGGCAAGGTATGGTGAAAGGTATATGAATTTACATATTATTCAATATAGTAAGCCTATTCTATTCGTAGGTCTTCTTTTCTATTCTGTTATGATTTAAAGATTGCTACAGGTTCCTAAATGCCTCAAAGGATCTCCCTCACTGGCTGCATTGGACGTTAAAATTTTTGTAAGTCAACTCCATTTGTTTAAAGCTCTATTGTCTCTCTTCCTATGAAACCTACCTTATTTGATCCAGGAGGGGAGCATCCATTGACATATAAGCATGGATTACTGTATCAAACTCAGGACATTCTGATGAAGAATATTTTGGTGGTGTGGGTAATACTCTACAGTTATAGAGCTGACTGTGTAGGGTTAATTCTAGTCAGAATTCTATGGTGAGGTATCCTAGAGGTATCACCTATTCTAGGGTGAGGTACTGGACACTTTGTGAGGTTGGTAGGTGGGTAGAAGTGAAAGAAAAAAGAAGAAAAAGGAAGGACAATACCAAATGGAGATGCAAGAATCATTCAAAATTATTCATTTGTTCAACGAACCTGTGTTCGCAGCTATTAAGCCTGTATTCCTCTTGAAGTGTCATTTGTCAGTGGCCAGTGATTTTTGTGGTTCTTGGTTGCTTGTTCCTTCATTGAGATAGAAGTCAAAATCCCTTGTAAGGTTTAAAGTTCTTTACCTATACAAGGTATGTTTATTATTTTGCCCTTCATACCTTCAAATTTCAGTCACTTCAGTAGTTGAAGAAATTAACCCCCAGTAAAGGGACATGGTAAGTAAACCATCCCCAGGGAAAATATACATAATAGTTAATCTGGGCCTTCTGGAGACTTTACCTCTTCCTTGGCTTTCATACATGCTGACAACTCTTTAAGATGGAATTTAAAGCCAAATGAGGAAGAAGGCAGAGGTTTGTGGATGCTTTGTGGTAAATGGATCTTTCAAAGGCCCCTAAGTCAATTTGCATTGGTAGCCCCTGTTCAGTCTTGTCCTAGGAGACCAGTCCAAAGGAAGGTAAGTTTTTAAAATGCACTCATAAAGTCAGAACACATACAGATACAATAAATCCAAATCTAATGCCTTTATTGTACAGGTAAAAAAAATTAAGTCTTGATAACTTGGTTGACTTAACCAAGATTATAACTAGATAAAAACCCAGGTCTCTTAGCTGATCTAATGGATTTTCCACAATATAAAGTTGTCCCAAGTCCAGGTATTAGATACACACCTTCAAAGCCCATAAATACATGAAACAAAGCAAGGCAAAAAAACAAGCAAGCAAAGAAAAGAAAAATCCTAGCAAGTCTCACATCAACCACTGGGAGAAAATGTGTAAACATTAAATGGAATGGAATTGCAAGCCATGTTGTCTTTTATAAAAAGTGGATTGTGTCAACTATACTAAATAATTTTCTCCCTAAAATTGTTGAACAAAAGAAGGTAATGTAGATTTTGCTTATCTGGGCTGTGAGGCTTTTTTGTTGTTTTGAGACAGAGTCTTGCTCTGTTGCCCAGGCTGGAGTGCAGTGGCGTGATCTGGGCTCACTGCGGTCTCCGCCTCCCAGGTTCAAGCGATTCTTCTGCCTCAGCCTCCTGAGTTGCTGGGACTACAGGTGCACACCACCATGCCTGACTAATCTTTGTATTTTTAGTAGAGACAGCGTGTCACCATGTTAGCCAGCCCTATCTCGAACTCCTGACCTCAAGTGATCCGCCCTCCTCAGCCTCACAAAGTGCTGGGATTATAGGCATGAGCCACTGCACCTGGCCCTGCGGCATTTTTTGATATGGGATGATGTGTATCATTTAAAATCTGACTTCAACTGATTTGGGCAATATTTCTTAGCCATAGACAAAGAATGAGTCTGTTGTGTGAAGATGCCTGGTTGAGTGTTATAGGAGTCAGGATAAGGTCACATTTACTTTATTGGATGTTTTATTCCATATCTTGACTCAAAGAAGGCAAAGGGCAAGATAATGAAATCCATTGGTGACCTAATTTCGGAGGCATTGTCAATGTGAACAAGAACAGAGAAGTAAAATAAATACAAGTTTAGACATATATGCCAGGAAGATGCAGTGGGACATCACTTCAAAAGCAACCTAATAGCTTGGAATGGAAATGGGTGCCAGAAATTCTAGAGATAGAAAATGATAATGACTTTTAAATGGTGGGGGGAGGGAATTATAATAGTTTGCAAAATCATACAAGATTACAATTTTGAATGGAGGAAAAAAATACCCCACACAAAAAGAACTATGTACTTAATATACATTTGCATAAATTTTCCATCTCAAAATCAGAATGGAAAGATTTCCATTATTATTTTGGAGATATAAACATTTTGGGTATAGGATTGGAGATAGTATCAAAGTAAACATGTAAAAGGATGAGTTACATATAAAATGACTGAGTACAATGTGAAGGTACAGATAGTATCCTTAGGATCTCAGATCTCACATAAATTAAGGAAAAAAAGAGAAGGAATTGAAAAGAGAGAAAAAAAGGAATTGCTCTGTCTGCCTTCTGTTGTCTATTATGCTTTTCTCTTGTTTTATAAAGAAAAAAACAGATTTTTTTTTCTTAATAAAGTCTTGCTAATATATAGGTTTAGAAAAGAGCAATCAGGGCACAGCAACAACCCATATCCAGGTAGTCTAGGAGAGACTCTAATTTTTATGAGTACTCTTGATGTCCCAGGGGACCAGAGCCAGTGCTGTTCAATTTTTTAAAATCCTCTCACAGTTTTGGAATTCATAGGGTTAAAATTCTCACAAAGTGTCTTTATGAGAACACATAGCAGTCTGTTTTCAATTGCATAAGTAATGGCATGATGAAATTCAGCACTGTGATTGCTATAAAATAAGAGATTCTTTCAGAAATCATATGCCATTGGACAAGAAAAGGACCCTTTCTGCACAGCTGGAGGGAGTAATTGAGGTGCCCTTTTCAGCAGATACCTGTATTTCATGGTAGAAGGAATCCATTAAAGATTGAAAGAGGTATTTAAATTAAAGGCTAACTTACCCAGAGAAATTAAAGGATCCAAATACACAAACTCTCACTAAATCACCAGTAAGTATGGGGTTAATTGTTCTGCATAAGTATAGTAGAAATCATCAGTGATGATGAGACATAAAAGGGAACAGAAGCAAGAGGAATAAAGGATACTTTAGCATACTTTTTAGTAAACATCCATCTAGTCTCCAGTTTTAAGGGGTTGCTCACAGCTTTACAATGAGGTAGTGAGTATTTATCGGCAGAATTCCTGGGAACTTAAAAGCAACAACTTTAGATGATCTCCCAGGAGAAGAGTTAGGAATGACCTGGATACAAATTTTCCCCTTTTCTTTCTAAGTCTGGCTGCTTAAAAATCAGCCATCTGGACTGCTTTTCTCTTCCCTAACCAGCACATATGCTGCTTGTGATCATTTTCCTAGGCCAGCAGGCTGTTTTGACAGAGGGCACTGTGTCAGCATTAATTTACCTCACTATATCCCTTTATGAACCAATTCAGGGAATCCTTGACCACATCCTCTTTCCTTTGCCTACTCAGTTCTGTCCATCTCAAATATTTGCTTAAAAATAAACTCAATGAAATGCCGCAACTTTTCAGATTTATAGAACAACATCGTATGTGCTATCAGAGAAGTGAAAGGAGCACCACAACATTTGTGAAGGCACTGTGGTGATTATAAGAACTCATTGAATACATGAGATATAAAGTCAAAATTGGACGCATTGATTTTATATTCAAAAACTTTCAAATAGTTGCTTATGGTTGAGGAAAACCTTTTATGACTTATTAATAACTAATGTCCATGGCATTTAATTATGGGTACCTGCTACATGAGCCAGGCACTATTTATTTCATTTCAGTCGTTACTAAATGTCAAGTATATCTCTGTCTTAGTTCGTTTGGGCTGTTATAACAAAAATACCATAGACTGGTTAATTTCTAAACAACAGAAATTTATTGCTCACAGTTATGGAAGCTGGGAAGTCCACGATAAAGGTGCCAATAGATTTATTACCTGGTGAGGGCTCACTCTGTGCTTCAGAGATGGTCTTCTCACTGAGTTCTCATGTGCAGAAGGGGCAGACAGGTTTCCTCAAGCCTCTTATATGGGCACTAATCCCATTTATAAAGACAGAGCCCTCACGACCTATCACCCCTCCCAGAGGCCCACTTCTTAATACCATTGCATTGGAGATTAAGTTTCAACACATGAATCTGGGAGGATCACAAACATTCAGGCCATAGCATGTGCTTATGCTGGAAGTACAAAGACGAAAGAAACATAACCACTTCCTTCAAGAGGTTTGGTAGGGGGAGAGAAAGATTCATTAAATAGTTACTTTCAGTAAAAATGTGGTAAGTGTAATAATAAAAGAGGCAAGCATGGAGAAGGCTATGGAAACATATAGGAAGGGTTAGAAAAAGTTTTCTGCAGGAAGTGACTTTTGAAACAAGTATTGAAGAATGATAGAAGGGGGAAGCAGCAGCTTCAGCTAGGGCCAAATGCTGAGAAAGTGCTTCAGTGGGAGTAAAGAATAGAGTGGGACATGTGGAGTCAGGGGAATGATGGCTGAAGAATCCAGCAGAGCCAGATCATGGAAGGCTTCATATGACATGTTAAAGAGCTTTCCTTAGCAGATACTTGATGGAATCATTTATTCCTAGCAGGAAAATTCTGTGGGAAAAAGCTTGGAAAACATACCAACAAGACTTCTTTAATGTAGAGTCTCTTGAAAATTTAAATATGCTAATGCATATTGTGAATCTCCAAAACAGGAATATACTATACAGTTTCTGACCATGAAACACTTAAACACTTATCAGAGATAATCTTTTGGGGCCAGAGTTCTGAGAATTACTTTGGGAAGTAGTGCACAAATCTTTAGGGAATCATTAAGAGTTTAAATAAAGCTTGTCCAATCCATGGCCCATGGACTGAATGTGGCCCAGGATGGCTTTGAATGTGGCCCAACACAAACTCTAAAATTTCTTAAAACATTAAGATAATTTTTTTGCGATTTTTTAAAGGTCATCAGCTATTGTTAGTGTTAGTGTATTTTATGTGTGGCCCAAGACAATTCTTCTGCCAATGTAGCCCAGGGAAGCAAAAAGAATTTAAAAATATTTAGGAGGTTAGATTGACCGAACTTGGTGATTGATTGATATAGGGAGGTAAGGGGTAGAAAAGATTAAAAGTTTCTAACACAGATGATCAGATGGATGGGGTGCCAACAAAGGAATAATTATAAGAGGAGGAATAGGTTTAGAGAAGATAACAGGAGTTTAGTTTTGGACAGGTCGAGATTGAAGACATGTATGGGATACGTAGTGGAGATTCTAGGAAGTGATTGCATATGTGTGTGAAGTTTCTATTAAATGCCCAGATTTTGGTAGTTAACAGGATATGGATGTAGTTACAATTATGACAATATTAAAAATTACCCAGGAAGAGTGAATAGAATGAAAAGAAGTATGGACCAAGGACAGAAGTTAGGGAATTCCAACAGAAGTATTTACGTACATAACAACTTCAAAACCTTGAGTCAACTCAAACCATAAACACAGGTTGCTGTTGAAAAAGACACCACCAACACAATATTAGACCTATATCAGTAATGATTTTTGGATCTATACTAAGTTCATGCCTCTCTCTACTTAGACTTTATATTGGTCTATAGCAAATATTTTAATATGCATTCTCCACTCCCACAACAATTCAATTACCAGAATTTTATTTTTTCTTTAACTTCAAAGTGCTTTTCTTCTTTTAGTTACTCTTTGAAAGCAGAGAGATTTGGGAGTAAATAGAGATTTGAACTGAGGCTGACATATTTGAACCTCTGATTTTGCAGAATCCTAGTGGTGGCTCCAAAGTTTCTATATAGGAAGGGCTTATGGAGGCAATCTGAAAGAAGGTGCTAAGGCAAGATTTACATAGGAAATGTTTTTACTAAGATTGTAGGTTACTTTGGTAACATTAAGGGTTAATGAAAATTATGCATGAAGTGGAGAGAGCCAAATCTTTTAAGCTGCCTCAGCTTGGCCTCATGACTGCTTTTTAACATCATTAATATTTCCAGCTGCTATTAAAATAAACCCTGTAAGCAGCTAACAATGTGTTAGCAACTAAATTTTGCTAAGCCATATCATCATGCATGTATTAACCCCATTTATATTGGTGATTCAGATACCCACTAGGATTCTATTATTTAGTAGAAATTGCTTTTTAAAAGCAATGTGGTAAAGTTTTAAAATACAATCACCCATGGCAAAATGTAGCTTTACTTAGTATCTACCACTGTTTGTGTCTACCACAATTAACTAAGATTACTTAGTATCTGCCAAAATACAAAAACTGTTGGCTCTCAGTTTTTATATTGTAGATGCTACAATTTTTATGTGGCTGTCTAAATTCTTTGTGAAAGGACTTGGAGTGTAAATAAAAATGAGTAAATAAGTATATGCTGCATTACATCTAATCTGAATAATAAGATTAATGATGTATCTAGTTCACTTATGTTTTAAATGGCATATGTTGGTGTTTGTGGTGCAGGTTTAATATTATATGAATGTGAGGAAGTATGAAGAAACACAGAACAAACTTCAAAAAATAAAACCATGCAATGTGCTAAATGCCTGTCAATTAATAGTAATTTAATAACTTTATATGTCATTGATATGAAGAATTAAAGCTGTTAGTTTTTTTGGCACAGAGTTTTCTTCTCAGGAGTAATTTAGGTATTAAAAAATATAACTTGTCATGTAGTTATTACAGCCTTGGAAAAAGCAGAAGCAATATATCTGGTGCATATGCCCACTCCAAATATAGCATTGCAGAAGGCATGTTTGCCTGGAATCCTTGCAAAGGGTACAATTAAGTTTAAGCTTAATGAAATCAAGGTGGTTTTCAATGCCTAGTTTTCATGATCAAAACAATGTTCATTGTTATGTTCTGTGCATGGTCAATGCATGGCCTGTTTCTTTAACACAAGAGATAAATTAAAAGAATAAAACAATGGTCACAATTACTTTTTCCATAGACTGGCTTCTTTCAGATAATGCCAAAGAAACAGTATTTTCTATTAATATTTGAAAATCTAGAGCAGAAATGATAAGTTGCATCTCAAAGGACTTCAAAGATGGTTCTTTAAAACAATCATTGTAAGAAGAAAGATACATAATAAGAACAGGAAATTTGAGGCTTGGAGGAAAGATAGTCTGTATATTATCCTTTGTCATGAAATATCTGGGTTTAGGCACTGTAGGCTGAGATTTTAGTTAATGGGATAGATGATTATGATTATATTTGCTGGTATTTCTTAGGAAATTTAGCTGGTATTTCTTAGGAATTCCTTAGGAAATTCCCATGAATTATAGATGTATACTGTACCGTTTTGTGAGAACCTCTCTCTCCTACACAGAGATGTCAAGTCCTTGGGTCTGAATTTTCTGGTTTCAATTTGAAAAGAAACCCTAAAATGTGTTAACTTAGAGTTTAAGGATCAGTCTGAGTAAAAGAAAAGTCTAAGTTGAAGGCTATATAAAATTTCAAGATCCTGAGATATTAGAGGTGCCGTTTCTTCCGTCTCCTCTCCCTTGTATCATTCCCAAAAGATAAATAATCCAAAAAGGATGAAGAAAAATATAATTGGGAGTCAAAGAATAACAACATAATGTTAAACCAGAGACCTTTGTTCACGTGTTTATCTGCTGACCTTCTCTCCACTATTATCCTATGTCCCTGCCACATCCCCCTCTCTGAGAAACACCCAAGAATGATCAATAAATACTAAAAAAAAAAAAAGAATAACAACCTAATGTTAATAGAAGAAGAAACAAAAACAAAATTTATTCAGATACATAACAATTTTATGAGTTTGCATTCTTCAAATATATGAGTTTTATCTGTGTCATCTTATGAAAATCAGATGGCATAAATGACCAAGAAATCTAGGCAGATGATTGTGAAACAATCTTGATGGACTTTCTATGTTTAAAGATGTGGTTTAACATAATAGTATAATTATAGATTCAGTGTTAGTTGATTTTTTGGGGGTAACATTCCTATGCCTGTGTTATTTCTAAACATATTTTCAATTTTAAATAATGGCTGCTATTGGGCATAATGTGACCAACTTTCTATCTTTCATATAATTGTATATACATATATAATATCATTTATTTATGTTATAGAAACTATATATATATATATTCCTAATGTGTATTTATGTTATAAAAAGGACTCTAACCTGTTCTGTTTTAAATTGTTAATTAGCCTGATTTTGTACACAAACACAGATTGCTTACGTTTGAATGTCTACAAATGTTCTTCCATCTCTATTCTACCTCCCTCTGCTCTCTGTAGCAATCTCTTCCAGCTGCTATTCTCACTCTATACTATGTCTCCCTGCTAAATTAGATTGGAATATACTTGCCTAGGAAATCACAAGTTCAAACATAGTACATCTAAATTTGGCAAAAGCTGTGAATAATATTTTCATTTTAAAAATCAAATAATTTTCAGAGAATCTAAGCAACATTCTCTAGAGTGGACACTCAGTACCTAGGGCATGTATTAGATGATCCGTGGGGTATGTGAAAAAACTACTTGTGCTTCTATTTCTATTTCTGTTTTCTTATCCCCTTATAGTTTCCATTTTTGCATGTTTTACAATGTGCATAATATATTCACAAAATGTTACTCTAGTAGAACATATGTACCAATATATGTTTGTTTGTTTGTTTTTTACTGCTAACATGTAAGGTCAAAGAAGATAGGAAATCAGAGGGGGTAAAGATGAAGAACACTTGCTTAGTCATATGATAAACCTAGATTTGATTCTTACCTCTAACACTTACTAGATTTGTGACTTAAGCAAGTTACATAAAATCTGTAAGCCTCAGTGTTCTTATCTATAAAATGGTAATCACTGTATAAACAAGGAGCCTCAATCTCCTTATTTTTTAGATTTGAGGTTTCTTGATTTTTAAATATTATTGTAAAACTCATCCCATTAGAGAAAATTTTTAATTTTTGTAAAGAGGTAAAATAAAATAGTTGACAATCATTTACCTACTCAAAAATTATTGTGCATTAAATTTGGTTTATATATACAAACACACACCTTCACACACACACTTGTAAACAGCAAAAGCTCATTAATAATTACTCCTAAAGTCCTGCAAATCATCCTAAAAGACACATCTTATTGATAACTTGCTCCAGAATTAGAGAATACAAAACATAATTTTAAATCAGTGAGGAAGTTAGCTTTTGTTCTCAGAAATGTGGTCTTATCTCAGATTTAGAAGACTTTTTTAGTCTGTTATGCTAGAGCAGGATTCCTTTCCCCCTAAACCTTTGATGAACATCAAAATACATTTTAAAAGTGTGCATTTTGTTTTGTTTTGTTTTGTTCAGTTTAGACTGTGTTTTTACCCATTGCTGAAACAGTCACTTACTCACAGAAACCTCATAAAACCTGAATAGCAACATGCCTGGATAGTAGTAATGTTATATGCTCACTATGAGTTTCTAAGAGAAAAGAATGAAAAGTAAAGACAAAAGAAGACCAAGAGAGTTTATTGCTAGCAGACCTACACTGCAAAAAATACAAAAGGAAGTTCTTCAGGCAGAAGGAAAATGGTAACAGATGGAAATTCAGATATTTAAGAAAGAATGAAGAGCTTTTCAAATGGTAAATATGTGGGTAGATAATTATTTCCTAGAAACTGACATAAAAATAATCATGTTTCTCTATGTAGCATTACTTTATAATGTATATAAATACCACAAATTTCAATTGAGACACCAAGATACAACAGAGGGCACATTCCAGAGGATATGATAATCCAGATGCAAATTTTCAAAGGAAACAGTCAAAAATATGTTAGATGACTCATCCTTATTAAGTGCATAAAAAGGCCAGGAGCAGTGGCTCATGCCTATAATCCCAGCATTTTGGGAGGCCAAGGTGGGAAGATCACTTGAGGCTAGGAGTTAGACACCAGATTGAGCAGTAGTGAGACTTGCCTGTAAAAAGAATTTGGAAAACAATAAAGTTAGCTGGGCATGCTCGTGTGTGCCTGTAGTCCACTGTAGTGAACTACGATTGCACCACACTGCACTCCAGCCTGGGCAACAGAGTGAGACCCTGTCTCTGAAAAAAAAAAAAAAAAAAGCACGAAATGTTTGGCTTTTTGGAAGGTTGAAGAGATTTTTGAGGATGATTAATTTAGAGAGAGCTATGCTATACTGTAATTACCAACCTTCACCACCCAAATGGATTGGGTAAGCTGGCACTCAATTCCGGTGACAGGGGTTTCCATAAGACTACTTATATAGCTTGATATGTGTTAACCATGGTTGAAGGGCATTAGTGGATTTTATTTATTAAGTCAGGTTTATTGAGGTATAATATACACACAGTAAAATTAACCTTTTAAGTTAGGTATGAGTTTTGACAAATGTACGCAGTCATGTAAAAAATACCACATCATTACACAAAAAAGTTATCTGGTGCCACTTTGAAGTTAATACCCTTCTCATACTCCCAGATGCTAACCAACACTGGTTTGAATTTTGCCCATTTAGTTTTGTCTTTTTCAGAATGTCATATGAACGAAATTATATAATAATATGTAGCTTTTTGTATCTTCCTTCTTTCAATTAACATATTGCTTTTGAGACTCATCCATGTTGTTGCATGCATCAGTAATTTCATGGATGAATGACAATTTGTTTATCCATTCACCAGTTGATGAATTTTTTGATTCCTCCCAGTTTCTGGTAATTATGAATAAAGCTATTTTAAGCATTTGTAAATAGGTCTTTATGTGAACATGTCTTCAACTTCTCTTGTGCTAGGAGTGGCATTTATGGGTCAATAAGTTAAGTATATGTTTAACTTTATTGGGTTGCTGTTTGACTCTACTTAGGAAATCTTTGAGATGGGTTGACAAACAACATGAGCAGCAAAATGAAGGAGAGTTCTCTGCCCTCCCAAAGTATGTGTGATCAGGAATACAGGAGTGTTTACTGTAGACCAGATAGCCTTTTATCAGTTATATACTGCTGCTAAAATAAAAAATAAGAAAAAATAAAAACCTACCACAAAATATAGAAGGTTAAAATAAAAGCAATAATTTATATGCTCACAATTTTGCAATTTGGGGTAGGCTCAGGGCTGGCTTGTCTCTGCGGTGTTGGCTGGGATCTCTCTTCTCTGTGTTCCTGGGGTATCTAAAATGTCCACTCCATACCTGGTGCCTCAGCTGGCATGACTGGAACACCTGGGATCTGGCTGAGCCTCTCTCTCCAGCAGGGTAGTTGGACTAATATGCATGATGACTCAGAACTCCAAAGGGGCAAAAATGGAAGCTGCAAGATCTCTTAAGATGTAGGCCTGGAAGTCACA
The DNA here is from genome assembly GCF_000001405.40 of Homo sapiens. NCBI lineage: Eukaryota > Metazoa > Chordata > Mammalia > Primates > Hominidae > Homo > Homo sapiens. The sequence goes on along the minus strand of NC_000012.12, from coordinate 70,188,924 downwards.
AAGCATAGCTTTTGCTGCATTTTATTGGGATGGTCCCAGTTTCAAAAGAAAGGAAAATAGACTTCATCTCCTTATGGGAAGAGTGGAAACCACATTACAAAAGAGCAAGGGGTTGAGGAGAGAGTGTTATGGCTAGCTTTAGAGACAATCTGTCTCAGTTCATATTGCATTTGTATTAGATTCTGTTCAATGGTACTGCTTAGAAGGGTGATGGGACCTCAGAAGGAAGGAAGTGGAGGTGAGCTGAAGGATTCTAGAAGAATTAGCTGCCAGAATAAAATCCATTCAGCCAGATCAAGAAAATGGTAGTTGAGAGGCCCTCAACAGAGATTTCCAAAGAGCGAATAAAAATGGCCCATGGGGGGATAAAAATGTCAAATTATATGTCTTCCAGTCCCAGAGAGCACAGAGTCACCTTACAACAATAACAGTCATGTAAAAACTTTCTCATCCTTTTATTTCTTCTCCCCTCCCCATCCCAACTTTCACTCTGGTGGAAACAGAAAATCAAAAATCATAGTTAATAAACTAGGGGAAACAGCAGGGACAGGAAGGAGGACTGCACTCACTTCCAACTTGCCTGTGTCCAGCCTCTGCTGGCCCATGTTGCAAAAGGCAGGAAGACTTTAACATTAAAACAATTTTGGAGTTTTGATCATTATCTATTATTGTACACTTATAATTACTATACTCAGACTATATTTGTGACTTAACATGATCGTAGGACTTTACCCAAGAGTGGCCAGAAAAAATATGGGGTCTACCTGAGTTTTAATCCAAGGGTAGGAGAAAGATTGTCCACATCAAGGATCTTAAGTAAAATTATGGGAAACAAAAATAATTATTTAAAATACCTAATGCTAGATGACACGTTAGTGGGTGCAGCACACCAGCATGGCACATGTATACATATGTAACTAACCTGCACAATGTGCACATGTACCCTAAAACTTAAAGTATAATAATAATAAAAAAAAAAAGATTAAAAATAAAATACCAGTTATGTAGTTAGGTCTATGATAGGTAAGTTTTCATGGCAGTTAAGAAGAAAGAGTAAATAATTCCATGTAACCAATGTTTGTTACCACATATAATAGTATGTTCCATCACTTACCAGCTGTGTAGTCTTGATCAAGTCAGTTAATCCCTCCGTGCCTCATATTTTTGATTTGTAAAATGAAATACATAATAGTAATCTCGTTGGGTAATTGTGAGAATTAGATAAAATCTAGATTAAGTGCCTAACAGTGTCTAGCAAATAGCTGTTCAACAAATGATAGTTATCATCATCATTATCTGCCTTAAGTTGTTTTACTGAATTAAAATTTTTTGCAAGAAATTGTCCTACTTTTTATTTCCTTTTTAAGAAATAATATTTTAATAAATGCAATAATATCCTTAAAATGATTAACATAATCACTGGAACATGGTGGGTGTTCAGTAAATGGTGGTGGTGGTGGTGGTTATTATAGTTGCTTGAATATAAGCCCTTTCACCTCCCTCTCTTCCTGTTATGTACTAGCT